>NC_000013.11:75074772-75226287 GCF_000001405.40 Homo sapiens
AGGCGCCACATGACTCACTCCACACACAAAGTATGTTCAAACGACAGACCAGCAATCCAAATATTTAAAATACAATTTTAATTTGTATTCACATCTTGACATTTGTAAGTGCTTTGCAGTTTATAACCCACAAGAACACTTCTCAAAAAGTTCTTTTGCCTTTTCCTAATTCTTTCTCATATCTTCCTTCAGCTGCTCTAAAATAATTCACAGCTAAATCTTCCTAAATTCTCCCATTTACCCAGTACCCATGGCATTTCTTGCTTTACTTTTTTTAGATTGAATTAGCCTCTTATTTATCTGGTTTTTGCTCCAGTATTCAGACACTCCTGATTCTGCATCTTCCAAAATTTAGAACTTCCTTGGAAAATATCTCTCTTTTTAGATGACACAGGAATTGAATAATGCTAGTGTAGGGCAGGGAGAAAATAAAACACTCACACATGAAGAAATTACAACCATCACCATTTTAATTGTATATGTTTTCTTCTTCTTCTTCATTTACAATAGTACTTGAAGAAAGATTCTACATCATTTGTTTTCTTTAGCACCAAGGCACCCATAATTTATGCACTTATTTGTAGAACACATAGTATATATTAGACAGAAATGGCTGTCAGAAGGAGGAGGAAAAGCTGGAGAAAGAAAAGGTGACAGAATCAACAAGGATACCGCTCTCAGAGAGTTTATGATAAGTGATCAAGATCAAAGTGCCTAGAACATTAGAGATTCTCAAGAATTATTCGCCAAATTGATTGCAACTCCTACTCCCCCAGCTACTTATGTATATATATAGAAACTACTCTGTATTACACAGCAAACTGGCATACAAAATTTCAGAAGTAACTTACCATGGTTGTCTTTGACCTAGGTGTTTTAGTTGGTTGTGAGAGTTCTGAAAAGTGATCTATGATAACAGTTAAGTTATTAAAGATTTTATATGTTAAAAATAAAGTGGCCAGGCACGGTGGGTCGTGCCTGTAATCCCAGCACTTTGGGAAGCTGAGGCGGGTGGATCACTTGAGGTCAAGAGTTCAAGACCAGCCTGGACAACATGGTGAAACCCCATCTCTGCTAACAAAAATTAGCTGTGCATGGTGTTGCACGCCTGTAATCCCAACTACTTGGGAGGCTGAGGCAGGAGAATGGCTTGGACCTGGGAAGTGGAGGTTGCAATGAGCTGAGATTGCACCACTGCACTTCAGCCTGGATGACAGAGCGAGACTCCATCTCAAAAAAAAGAAAAAGAAAATAAATAAATAAATAAATAAATAAAGTGGTTATTTCTGGAACAAGATCACTTTTACCTGTTTGTTTATAATATATACATTGTTAGCTGAAAGATAAAGGAATAAAATTAAAATTAGTGTGCTACAAATGACAAACAAACCTGGGTACATCCATGACTGTGTGCCTTCCATGTGACATCTATTCCCAAACACGTTCACAATGGAAAAAGAGGTAAGAACAAATAGTTGAATAAAGGTCCCACATTTATTGGTTTTCATAACAAACCAGCAAGACAGCAATCTCAAAGCGACTAAGACACTTTCTGACATTGTCATCCTTTTGTTCATGTTCTTCCTCACCTTTCCTCTTCCCCGATACCATTTTCATTCCTTTCACAAACTCCATTGTTTTCATAAACAATATTTTTATTCAAATCCCTCATTCCCATTTTGAGTTACTTTGTTATTTTAAATTTTCCTCTTCCACTCTTTACATTTTCCTCTTTGGGGTACACTTTCTCATGCCCACCCCACTCTCCAGCTCCTGCTTTGGAAACAGAGGCAGCTAAATCAGCATCTGTGGCTGAGGAAGCAGAGCTAGAAGGGGCAGAATGAAAGGAAGCTGATTAGCTGTGTGCATATGTCATTCAGGATAATTCATGAGCTTTAACATCCAACCACACACACATTAGTCAGGGAGATAACAAGAAAGAGATTTAACCCAAGGGGAGATTAAGAACATAGGCCCAACTGGATCTCATTTTCCTAGGAAAGACACTTCTGAATGTTAAGAATTAAAACCCATGATTCTCTTTATCCAATTCTCAGTCCATTTCTCCTATGCAGTAATTGGACTGCCCTCTTCACCCTACCTTCTCAAAAACTCTTTTTTTTTACCATCCTTTAAAAATCTTCTGAAACCACATTTCCTTAAGAAATTCTTCCTCAAATTTGAAGGAGTAGAGGCCATTTGTCCTACTATTCAACATCAATACATCATTCCCCATCTAAATATGCAAATACCTTGTCTTTACAGATAATATAATTACATAAATAAAAATTAAATTGCTTTTCACTTAAACCTCAGGAGACTACACAAACCAAGTTATTTGGTTGACAGAAAATTTACATCTCAACTTCTTTTTTTGTAAGTTTTCAAAATCCATTTTATCTCACTAAAACTTTTCTTCAACCTTATAGATACTATTAGTCTCTTGAACACACCATTTTCCTGACTTTACCTCCTTCCCTACCCAAGCATAGCCACTTGGGCCACTCTTTTTCTAGCTCTTTTAACAGGGCCCTTTTACCCAAATTAACTCTAACTTCCTCATCCCTGGTCCTAACTAGCAATCCCTATTCTCCACTCTCACACCCAAACCACTGAGCACTACTGATTTCTTCTAATTACCTGATAGTGAATTCAGGGGTAGTGGGCATAATCTTATGTATATTGAGTGATAATAAATTCATAGTGCCTCAAACATCTTTTGGTTTTTCCCCACCACTTGCATTTTATATGTGTCAGTGCCAATTGCCAATCCCCCAAGCAGCTATTTCAAACCCTCATCATTCCCTTCAAAAACCAATCAGTTCACTTCACAGTGAATAACCTTGTTTTATTCTTATTCTAGAGGTTTACCAGGAAAAAAAAAGTCCTCAGCTCCTTATCTGTCTTCATAGAAATCTATCTACATTCATTCTCTTCCCTTTAGCACTCCACTGAATCTCAGAGAAAGAAGCATCTTTTCAAACCTCTCCAGCCTCATTCTCTGAAATTTTCTTACCATGTATTTTTCCCTCAGTCTATACACATTCAAAAATTTTTCTAAAAATAAATATTGGGCCGATAAAGTCACCCAATCACTAATCAACATTTGCCTCACCCTTCTGCTTTATTCCCCCACTCTTCCAGTCAACTTTTTTGAAAAACTAGCTTACTATTCTTTTGAAAAACAGACTACACTTCTTACTCTCATTCAGTTTCCAGCCCCTTACCATAAAGCTTCATGCTAAACACATCACCAAAACTGAGCTGAATGTGGTCAGTATTTACTAGCTAAAAGTAAATATCATTATGAGACATTTTATAGACACACACACACACACACACACACACACACATCTCCTGTAATCTTCATCTTCTTCAGGAGCAACTATGTTCAAATTTTACTTCTGTAATTGACTTCAAAATTTCTCAGTAATAGGTGTATTCTGCTATCACTACATCAATTTCAGGCAATATTTGTTAAATTGCTATTACAGGAATTTACACCCTTCTCTATATCCCATCTTGTTACACTGTTATATCACAAATTTTGGTTGTTTTCATTTCAGTGTTTGTATTACTATGAGTATGCAAGCTACTACTTACTACTGAGCCAAGTAACAAACTATAACTAGATTCCCTTTCTTCAACATCTTTTTTTTCTAGATGTAAAACATATCCCTAATATTTTCATTTGCTTGATTTCTCTGTATCTTAGGCTATATCCCCTCATACTTCTACCATCTGTGTAAAAATCCTCCTCATGAAAATTTTCAGGCTAGGCACAGTGGCCCATGCCTGTAATCCCAGCACTTTGGGAGGCCAAGGCAGGCAGATCACCTGAGGTCAGGAGCTTGAGACAAGTCTGGCCAACATGATGAAACCCAATCTCCACCAAAAATAAAAAAAAAATTAGCTGTGCACGGTGGCACACGCCTGTAGTCCCAGCTACTTGGGAGGCTGACGCAGAAGAATTGCTTGAACCTGCAAGGCAGAGGTTGTAGTGAGCCAAGATTTTGCCATTGCACCCTGGCCTGGGCAATGGAGCAGGATTCTGGCTCAAAAAAAAATTATTATCATAAAACTCTATATTTTTCATAAGTTTTCATTTTTTCTGAGACTTTCCTCTGAGAGTGTCAGTGATCTTTCTCCAGTAAATTTGGGGGGCCAGGGCAGAATACTACTGTTAGAATATGTACTTCAAAAAGCATGCATTGAAAACTTTATTTCCAGTGAAACAGTTTTAAGAGGTGAGACCTTCAAGAAGTAACTAGGACATGAGGACTCTGCTTTCATAAATGGATTAATGGCATTATTGTGGGAATGGATTTTTTTATAGAAGGAAAATTCAGCCCTTTTTTGCCTCTCTCTCTTTTCAGCCCTTTTGTCATGGGATACACAGCAAGAAGGTCCTTGCTAGATGCTGGTCCTTTGATCTTGAACTTTCCAGCCTCCAGAGCTCTAAGTCACTAAAATTCTGTTCATTATAAATTATGCAGTCTGCGATATTCTGTTACAGCAGAACAAAACTAAGAAAACCATATTCAGAGAACTGTTACTTTTTTCCATGTCTGGAAAGTCCCTGGAAAACCCATTCTCAGGGTTTGTTGTTATTTGATATGATTCAGACCTTGGTCAGTGCCAGTAGCCTTTTCCATGGAACTTTTGACCAACGCAGTCAGCAGCAATTGTTTAACCTAATGCTGCCTAAAACAGTAACACCAGTAAATAAGAGCCTGGCCAAAAATTTCTGAAAGAAAAAAAGCTGTGGTTGGATACATGACAGGGATGCCCTCTCTCACCACTCCTATTCAACATAGTGTTGGAAGTTCTGGCCAGGGCAATTAGGCAGGAGAAGGAAAGAAAGGGTATTCAATTAGGAAAAGAGGAAGACAAATTGTCCCTGTTTGCAGATGACATGATCGTATATCTAGAAAACCCCATCGTCTCAGCCCAAAATCTCCTTAAGCTGATAGGCAACTTCAGCCGTCTCAGGATACAAAATCAATGTGCAAAAATCACAAGCATTCTTATACACCAATAACAGACAAACAGAGAGCCAAATCATGAGTGAACTCCCATTCACAATTGCTTCAAAGAGAATAAAATACCTAGGAATCCAACTTACAAGGGACGTGAAGGACCTCTTCAAGGAGAACTACAAATCACTGCTCAATGAAATAAAAGAGTATACAAAGAAATGGAAGAACATTCCATGCTCCTGGGTAGGAAGAATCAATATTGTGAAAATGGCCATACTGCCCAAGGTAATTTATAGATTCAATGCCATCCCCATCAAGCTACCAATGCCTTTCTTCACAGAATTGGAAAAAACTACTTTAAAGTTCATATGGAACCAAAAAAGAGCCCGCATCGCCAAGTCAATCCTAAGCCAAAAGAACAAAGCTGGAGGCATCATGCTACCTGACTTCAAACTATACTACAAGGCTACAGTAACCAAAACAGCATGGTACTGGTACCAAAACAGAGATATAGATCAATGGAACAGAACAGAGCCCTCAGAAATAACGCCACATATCTAAAACTATCTGATCTTTGACAAACCTGACAAAAACAAGCAATGGGGAAAGGTGCTGGGAAGACATTTAATAAATGGTGCCGGGAAAACTGGCTAGCCATATGTAGAAAGCTGAAACTGGATCCCTTCCTTACACCTTATACAAAAATTAATTCCAGATGGATTAAAGACTTAAACGTTAGACCTAAAACCATAAAAACCCTAGAAGAAAACCTAGGCATTACCATTCAGGACATAGGCATGGGCAAGGACTTCATGTCTAAAACACCAAAAGCAATGGCAACAAAAGACAAAATTGACAAATGGGATCTAATTAAACTAAAGAGCTTCTGCACAGCAAAAGAAACCACCATCAGAGTGAACAGGCAACCTACAGAATGGGAGAAAATTTTTGCAACCTACTCATCTGACAAAGGGCTAATATCCAGAATCTACAATGAACTCAAACAAATTTACAAGAAAAAAACAAACAACCCCATCAAAAAGTGGGCGAAGGACATGAACAGACACTTCTCAAAAGAAGACATTTATGCAGCCAAAAAACACATGAAAAAATGCTCGCCATCACTGGCCATCAGAGAAATGCAAATCAAAACCACAATGAGATACCATCTCACACCAGTTAGAATGGCAATCATTAAAAAGTCAGGAAACAACAGGTTCTGGAGAGGATGTGGAGAAATAGGAACAATTTTACACTGTTGGTGGGACTGTAAACTAGTTCAACCATTGTGGAAGTCAGTGTGGCAATTCCTCAGGGATCTAGAACTAGAAATACCATTTGACCCAGCCATCCCATTACTGGGTATATACCCAAAAGACTATAAATCATGCTCCTATAAAGACACATGCACACGTATGTTTATTGCGGCACTATTCACAAGAGCAAAGACTTGGAACCAACCTAAATGTCCAACAATGATAGACTGGATTAAGAAAATGTGGCACATATACACCATGGAATACTATGCAGCCATAAAAAATGATGAGTTCATGTCCTTTGTAGGGACATGGATGAAATTGGAAATCATCATTCTTAGTAAATTATCACAAGGACAAAAAACCAAACACCACATGTTCTCAGTCATAGGTGGGAATTGAACAATGAGAACACATGGACACAGGAAGGGGAACATCACACTCTGGGGACTGTTGTGGGGTAGGGGGAGGGGGGAGGGATAGCATTAGGAGATATACCTAATGCTAAATGACGAGTTAATGGGTGCAGCACACCAGCATGGCACATGTATACATATGTAACTAACCTGCACATCGTGCACATGTACCCTAAAACTTAAAATATAATAATAATACAATTCAAAAAAAATAAATAAAATAAAATAAAGAAAAAGCTGGGGTATGCAATGTATGTACAAGCTTTGCATGTCTTTAGAAAGCTCCAATGTATTACAGGAAATTGAGAAGTCCATGGAAATGTATAGGGCTGGACACTTGCCAAAGCCTGTGAATACACATAGAAAAAAACTGAGACGGTCCTAAGCTGACCTTTAGGCACTGTAAAGGCAGGAATAATGAAGACAAACGCAGAGATATATGCTTCCTGACTGAAGGCATTGAAGGCATGCCTAAAACATACACAGAAGCTCTTGCAAAGGCTGGATGTCATATTGGTTCAAAGCATTTAAGGAAATCTCTGTTCAATCATTAGCTGACTATGGAGTTAGCTTAAGAGGGGCACTAAATAAAGAAACAGCAACACAACAACATAGAGCAATGATGAACCTTAGGAGAGATGAAAAATCTTGATTTACAAAGTTTTCAATTTACATTATGATTTTCTTTATTTATTTATTGGGGCAAGGTCTTACTCTGTCACCCAAGCTGAAGTGCAGTGGTGTCATCACAGCTCTCTGCAGCCATGACTCCCTGGGCTCAAGCAATCCTCATTTCTCAGCCTCATGAGTACCTGGGAATACAGGTATGTACCACTGTGCCTAGGTAATTTTTTTTAATTTTTTGGACAAATGGAGGTCTCACTATGTTGCCCAGGCTGGTCTCAAACTCCTAGCCTCAAGTGATCCTCCCATCTTGGCCTCCCTAAGTGCTGGGATTCCAGGCATAAGCCACTGTTTCCAACCCAAAATTATATTATTTTAAATGTTCAGTGTTCAACAACAACAAAAATTGAGGCATGTAAATAATCAAGAAAGTATGGCCTATACAGAGAAAATGAAGCATCAATAGAAACCGCCCCTTGAGAATTTGCTGATGATTGGCTTATGAGACAAAGACTTTAAATCAGTTATTTCAAATACGTTCCCAAAAAATCACATCTAAAAATATTAAAGGAAAGTATGAGAACACTACCCAGTAAAATATAGAATACAAACAAACACATGGATATTATTTTTTAAAGAACCAATAGAAATTATGGAGTAGAAGGTACAATAAATTTGCTAGAGAGAACTCAACAGCAGATGTGAGTCAATAAAAGGACAAATTGACTGACTTTAATTAAGGTTGTCCAGTCTTCAGAATAGAAAGAAACAAAAATGAAAAAAGTTAACAGATCCTCAGGGACCTTTGAAACACCATCAAGCATATCAAATATGCATCATAGAAGTCCCAGAAGAATAAGAAAGAAGGCAGAAAGAATATTTGAGAAAATAATTGTCAAAAATTTTCTGAATTTGATGAAGGGCATTAATGTACACATTCAAGAAGTTCAACAAACTCCAAATAGAACAAACTTAAAGAGATCCACTCCTAAAAACATTATAATCAAACTATCAAATCTAAAGACAAAAGAGAATCTTGAAAGTAGTAACAGAGCAGCAATTTACCACATACAATTTATCCTCAATAAGATTAGCACCTGATTTCTCTTCTGGTCCTGGAGGCCAGATGGCAGTGAGATGACATATTTAAAGTGATAAAATAACAATATTATTGACCAAGATACTGTAGCCAGTAAAACAATCCTTCAAAAATGAAAGAGAAATTAAGATATATTTTCAGATAAACAAAACCAAAGAAAGTCATCACAAGCAGACCTGTCTTACAAGAAATACTAAAGAGATTTCTTCAAATAGAAATGAAAGCACACTCGGCAATTACTTGAATCCATATGAATAAACAAATAGCACTGGTAAAGGTAACTAGATAGGTAAATTTGAATGACAAAAGAAATTTTTGTCTGTAAGGCTTTTATACTGCTACCTGATTTAAAAATAATCTGAAAACAACAACAATTATAAATCTGTGTTGATAGGCACATAAGGTATAAAAATGTAATTTGTATGACAATAATAATACAAAAGATGGAGGACATAACAGAGTTAAGTAGAACAAAAGGTTTTGTATACTGCTAAAATAAAGTTGGGAAAAATCAGAACAGGGTTGTTATAAGGTATTAATAAGGTGCCAATATTATCCCCAGGGCAACCATTAAAAAAGAAACTCAAAAAAATAGTAAAAAATGATTAAGAATTTAAAAATATGATCCATCTCTATACTGTCTACAAAAGACACAGTTTACATCCAAACATTCAAATAGAAAGTAAGATGATGAGAAAACTATATTATGCAAATAACAATCCTCAAAAAGCTGGAGTAACTGTAATATTAAAAATGTTATCCCGTCTCTACTAAAAATATAACAATTAGCCAGACATGGTAGTATGCACCTGTGGTCCCAGCTACTAGGAAGATAAATGAAAGGATCACTTGAGCCCAGGAAGTCGAAGCTGCCGTGAGCCAAGATCACGCCACTGCACTGCAGCCTGGATGATAGAGTGAGACCCTGAAAATAGGAAAGAAAGAACAAACGAATGAACGAAAGAAAGAGAGAGAGAAGGAAGGAGGGAGGGAGGGAAGGAAGGAGGGAAGGAGAGAGAGAGAGAGCGAAGGAGGGAGGGAGGGAAGGAAGGAAGGAGGGAGGGAGAGAGAGAGAGAGAGGAAGAGAAAAACATTTCATAATGATAAAAGGGCTTACCTTTCAGAAAAATGTAATTATAAATGTATATGCCGCTAACAACCAGAGTCCAAAAACACATGAGCAAAAACTGACAGAATTGAAGGAAGGAACAGAAAATTCAACAATAATAGTTGAAAACTTCAATATCCCACTTTCAATAATGAATAAAACAACTAGACAGAAGACAACAATAGAGGACTTGAACATTATAATCAGCTAGACCCAATAGATATATATAGAACACTGCATCAAAAAATAAAATACACATTATTCTCAAGTACACCTAGAATATTCTGCAGAGAAAAAAAAACATATATTCGGCCCTAAAACAAGTCTTAATAGGTTTAAAAGTATCGAAATTATATAAAATATCTTCACTGACCACAATAGAATGACATTAGAAATCAGTAACAGAAGGAAATTTAGGGAATTTACAAAGGCATGGAAATAAAACAACACATTCCGAAATAACTAATGGGTCAAAGAAAAATTATAAGAAAAATTACAAAATGCTTTGATATGGATGAAAACCAAAAAAAAAAAAAACACTATATTCAATAATTGAAAGCATGAGAAAAATTAGTGCTTTGAGGAAAAATTATAGCTGTAAACATCTATATTTTAAAAAGAGATCTCAAATCAATAACCTAAGCTTCCATTATAGAAAAAGAAGAGCAAAGAATAAAGAAGGAAATAATAAAGATTAACATGGAAATAAATGAAACAAAGAATAGAACAACAATAATGAACATCAATGAAACCAAAAGTTTAGTTTTGGAAAGAATGACAAACCTTAAGCTGGATCAACCAAGAAATGAAGAGAGAAGACTCAAATAACTAAAATTAGAAATGAAAAAGAGAACATTACAACCAATTTTATATAAATAAAAATTATTATAACAGAATATTACAAATGATTGTACTCCAACAAATTGGGCAACCTAGATAAAACAGATAAATTATTGGAAATACATAACCTGTCAAAACTGAATTATGAAGAAATAGAAATTCTGAATAGACCTATAGCCAGGAAGGAAATTAAACTAGTAATTAAAAATCTTTGTGCAAAGAAAAGACCAAGACCACATAGGTTCACTGATGAAATCTACCAAATATTTAAAAAAGAATTAATACCAACCCTTTACAAACTCTTTCCCCAGAAAAATAGAAGAGGGGGGAACAATACTTAATTCATTCTATGAGGCCAGTATTACTCTGATGCCAAGTCCAGACACAGATATCACAAGGAATGAGTATCACAAATCAATTTGCCTCGTGAACAAAGACTCAAAATTCTCAATAAAATATAAGTAAGCCAAACTCAGAAACACATAAAAAGGAGTTACATATCATGGCCATGACCTGAAGTTTATCCCAAGAATGCAGAGTTTATTTACATTCATAATAATGTAATAGCAATAAAAGAAATCTACAAAAAAACACTGACAGCATCATATTTAATGAATCACGTCATGAAAACTGATAGCTTTTCTCCTAAAATCAGTAATGAACAAGATATCTGCTCTTGACACTTGTATTCAACATTGCACTGCAGTTTGTATGTAGGACAATTAGGCAAGGAAAATAAATAAGCGGCATCCAGACTGGAAATGAAGACGTAAAACTCTCTTTTTGCAGATGACCTGATTTTGTATGTAGAAAATCCTAAGAAAAGTACACATGTACATGCACACACAACCTACTAGATGTAATAAACTAACCCAGAATGGTTGCAGGACCAAAAAAAATTAATATGCAAAATTTAATTGTATCTGTATGTACTAGCAATAAACAATCAAAAATAAAATTAAGGAATAAATTACATTTATAATAGTATCAAACAGCAAAATATGAGGCAATAAATGTAACAAAAGAAGTACAAAACTTGAACTCTTAAAAATATTAAATACTCTTGAAAGAAATTAAAGATCTAAATAAATATAAAGATATCCCATGTTCATGGATATAAAGACTTAATACTGTTAAGACGACAATACTCCCCCAGATTGATCTACAGATTCAACAGAATCCCCATCAAAATCTGAGTTAGCATCTTTGCAGAAATCTACAAGCTAATTCTAAAATTAATATGGAAGTGCAAAAGACACAGAATAACCAAAACAATCTTGAAAACAAATAGAGTTGGAGGTCTCACACTTTCTGATTTCAGAACTTACTACAAGTTCCAATAATCAAGACAATGTGATACTGGAACAAGGATACAAATATAGATCAAGAGAATATGACAGAAATCCAGGAAAAAACCTCTACTTTTATGGTCAATTGATTTTCATTAGAGTGCCAAGACACTTTAATGGGGAAAAAATAGACTTTTCAACAAATGCCACTGGGACAATTAGATTTCCACATACAAAAATTGAAGCTGGACCTCCCACCTCTCACCATACACAAAATTAACTTAAAATGAATCAAATTCTTAATATAAGAGCCCAAACTATAAAAATCTTAGAATAAAACATAGGCATAAATCTTTGTGGCGTTGGGTTGGGTAAGGGTTTCATAGCATGAAACTAAAAGCATGAGAACAAAGAAAAATAGATAAACTATAGTTTATTCAAACTTAAAACTTTTGTGCTTCAAAAAACACTATCAAGGAAATCAGGCTGCACAGTGGAATATGCCTGTAATCTCAACACTTTGGAAGGCCAAGGCAGGAGGACTGCCTGAGGCCAGAAGCTCAAGACCAGCCTGGACAACAAAGCAAGACCCCATTTCTAAAATAATTAATTAATTAATTAAAAAATAAAAATAAAAAGACAACCTACAGAATGGAAGAAAATGTTTTTAAATCATGTATCTGATAAGGGACTAATATCAAGAATATGTAAAGAACGCTTACAATTCAACAATAAAAAGACATAAACAATGAGCAAAGAGTTTGAATAAACATTTCTCCAAAGGAGACCTACAGTACCCATACATTACTGGTGAGAATGTAAATTGGTGCAGCCACTTTTAAAACAATGTCAGGTCCTCAAAAATCAAACACAGAGTTACCAGATGACCCAGCATATCTACTCCTAGGTATATGCTGAAGAGAATTAAAAC
Source organism: Homo sapiens (assembly GCF_000001405.40). Classification (NCBI taxonomy): domain Eukaryota; kingdom Metazoa; phylum Chordata; class Mammalia; order Primates; family Hominidae; genus Homo; species Homo sapiens. The sequence continues at coordinate 75,087,315 of NC_000013.11, forward strand.
ATATGTCTACAGAAAAAGTTGTACATGAATGTTCATTACATTTTTCATAATAGCCAGAAGACAAAAACAATCCAAATGTCCATCAGCGAATGAATGAACAAACAAAACGATTTATCCACGTAATAGAGTATCTCTCTACAAAACATCATGGATTTCTGATACATACATGGATGAACCTTAAAAACATGCCAAGTAAAAGAAGCCAGGCACAACAAGCCACTTATTATATGATTACATTTATATAAAATGTCCAGAATAGACAAATCCATAGAGACATAAAGTTGGCTACTATTGCCAGGAGTGGGAGGAGTGGGGAGAATAGAGGGTGACTGCTATGGATACAGTTTCTTCTACGAGTGATTAAAATGTTCTGAAGTTAGACAATAGCAGTCATTGCACAACTCTGTAAATATACTAAAAACCACTGAATTGTACACTTCAGTAAGATGACTTTTATCATATATTGAACTATCCCTTAATTTTGGAAGTTATTGCCCTTTTTCTCATTATATAAATTCTCAGAATGCTGTTATAAAATGAGGGTCTTTTTTCATCCATATTTGTCAGCAGAACAATTTTTACCCACCACTCATGTTTCTTCAGTGCGGAGAATTTATTTAGTGTAACTCTTGGATTTTCTTGGCAACTTATGCATTCTGCCCTAAAGGAGGTAAAATGACAATCCTAGTTCAAATTCCTTTTTTTTTTTTTATTGACAGCTACATACCTATAATAACATACTTACACTATTTCCCAGTAACTCTCTCTCCCTTCTCTGCCCTCAGATGCTATGTTTCTATAATGTAATGGCTTATAACCTTGCTTCAGTGTATTCCACCTGCTTGAAAGTATAGTACTCAGCTCTAATGCCTGCAATATTCAGTCAAGAAGATTATTTATTGTGTCTTCCCATAATCTTCCATCCCCCTCATAAATGGTAGTTCAGAGTCAAGAGACCTTCTAGGGTTTTTTGTTTTGTTTTTTTGTCAATACTAGAGTCTAAGTTTTCAGTTTTCTGTTGTTTTGGGTGAATTTGGAAAGCAGAACCATCATCTTAACTGCCCTTAAATGGAAGTTTCCCAATAACAATTTAATTACTCTTCCTGACTTTGCTTCAGTTTCTCCAATGCATCCTCCATAATGCTGCTGAAGTGAACTACTAACACATCTGACCATTCCTCTCCCCTGCTCAAAATCTCTTAAGGGACTACAAGGTATGATTTAAATTACTTTGCATAGCATATGAAGCTCTTCGATATGTGGTCTCCATCTATTGAATTCCTCTTATCTTTTAGCCCTAATCCCTTCCTGCATATACTCCAGGTGACTAATTCACAGAAAGCTGGAGAATTGCAAATATTTTCTCAACTACCATGCTTTTGCTCGTGGATTTCTCTGTAAAATATTCTTATCTCCTTGTGCCCATCTGGAAAAAAATGTTACCTGCAGGTCCATTTCAGAGAAGATGTCCTGTCTCATGTGAAGGGAGTTAATGACTCCCTCTTCTCTGCTGTCTCTACCTAATACCTGAAGTCTTCACACTCAGTGGTAATTATTTGTTTAGGTGAAATTCTCATCCCTTTAAAATTGTTTATCATTTGTTTGTTAGATAGTCTTTAAGCCCACTCATTCTTTAAAATACTTACTGAGCAACAACTCTGCTCCAAAAATGAAATACAAAGAAAAATAAAAACACTTTAAGCCTCTAAGGAATACAAAGCCAGTATTGTTATCTACCCTCCTGTGGTTTTACGCCATGTGTCTGTACATATATGCTAACTACTTGGAGATGTGAAAGATGTCAGAATCAAAATGGAGTCACTCGTGTTTAAAAAAAAACAAAAAAAACTGGAGTCCGAGAAGGCCACAGTGGGAACATTCTCATGCATAAATGACTAATAACAAGACTTGTTATTAGTCTTGCACAAAGGCCATCACAACCTTACGAAAAAATACTTCTGAGAGGACAATTGCCTGTCCAAATTTGGACTGTTGTTGTTGATCCTGGTTACTAAGGAGAATTATCTCAAAACAATTATGTAATCTTTCTCATTTTTCCTTCAAAAACCCTTGTCTTCCTTTACCTTCCTGAATGTACACATATGAAATAGTTCACTACGGCACATTTATACCCATTGCAATGCTCTATTCCCAAATAAATATTATTTTCTTTTAGAAAGTCTCTCTCAGTTATTTAGGTTGATGGAGGCAAGAACAATGTCATATATATTGTTCTAGAATTTTCAGTGCTTAACAAAATTTTGTATTTTGTAGACACTTGATATTTCCAGAGCCTACAAACTGTTCTTCAGTCTTCAGTTTTTTTCTGATACCTGCCACAAAATGTTCTTCACAGGAAACTCAAAATTATATTTCTAAAATACAAGGCTATACAAAGCATTCTCTGCTGTAAGACATTTAATGACTGTTCTTTCCCTTTAGGGCAAAGTCTGTCTTCCCCATCAGACTATAATCTCAGCAACAAAAGGGCCTTCATATTCTTCTTGTAAACCTTGTGGTCAGCAAAGAGCCTGAAACACAAATATTTGACAAAAGATGTATTGGTTTGATTTCTTTGAGTATTGGTTGAAATTAGTGGGTAATTCCTGGGATTTAAATACATATTTGATTCAAATATATTTTAATTTCTCTGGGATGAGAGCAATTAGACATGATTATATTTTATGTTGCTCATTCATTTATGTGTCTCAAATATCGTGGCACATTATTCTCACTTTTTTTGATGAAAAGGAGCCATGTCTTAGTTACAGTATATAGAATCCAACACAGTAACATGTTCAAATACATAGCAACGGCTTATGACTGTGTTACATTTAGTTTTAAAAAAAATAGACAATAACAAACATGTAGAATTTCCAATGCTATATTTTTTGTTTAAGTACCTTCTCAGTTTTACAGTTCCTAGGACTCTGATAAGTAATTTCATGAATAACTGAGGACATACATTTTTCTCTAAAGATCTTAGAAGTAACTGTCATTCTTCTTTATCAAAGGAGGGTACTGAGACAGAGAGAATGAGTGATATAACCAAGGTCACAAATATAATCATGAGGTGCAGATGACGGTGGCATAAACAGAATCAGATAACAATTCACAGAACACAGTGAGGAAGGCCAGGAATACTAAGCAGGGAATATTGATGGAGGTGTTAGACAGATAATTCTACAAACTAACATGTCTCATCCTAAACAATAAAATCCCTGACCACAGAAGGGAGAGACCAAACCAGGAATAAGAGAAGCAAAATCTGAAACCTCATGTAAAGTAACTCTCCTCCCGCTGAGGTTACAAAATAAGAAGAGTCCATCCTATAAACAAAAATCAAAGATCATGCTCCCAACAGAGTTTTTCCCAACAGACAACGCTCATCAGAAATTGGTATTTCTATTTTCTCAAGGCAATCAATGTCTCTCACATAGGTCTAAAATAGTCCATTTAGCTCTATCTTTTACCCAGACTCTTCCTCATTTTTGTTTCTGAATACTGACCTATTTTTTTCTGCTGAACCTATGACCTGATTTTCAATCTCATCATTCACTAAACAGAAAATTACAAATGTAAAATGGTTTTTAAAAGGGCATGATCTCACACTTTTGGCTATTTGCATTCCTTTCTTTCCCTATACTATTACAGTCGTGCTCATATGGGGCACTTCTTCTCCTGCAATGGATTTAGGTTTCCAAGTCTCCCTACCCTCTGCTCCTCAAGGACTTAATCAGCTGCATTGCCTGGTGGTTGAAGTCACAGCCTTGACAGCCCTGGCCTTGAGGGGAGTTGCTCCTTTCCAGGCAAATGTATTGTTAAGGGGCTTATGTTGAATTTATGAGAAAGACAAAGCAGTGCTAAAGATCACTGAGTTTTTAAAAGAAGTTCTCTCTGGACTGGATACTAATAAAATTATCCTTTAAATTACTTCTTATAGAACCACAGAGAGTGAATACAAAGAAGCAAGCTCTACAGACAGAGTCCAGGCAAACACAAAGGCAGTGGATGTTTCTGCTTCAGCTCTACAAATTCTTCCTTCTAAAGGATGATGAGTAGGCAGAAATTGATGGATTCTCTCTTTCTTCCTAGCCTTTACGTGTTAGCAATGTCAATGGTCAGTACACAGTGCACAAGCCACTGTAAATATGTGTATCTGTGAATAGTCCTTGGGAGCTGAGTAGTCAGGAAGAGAAAAGACCACATATTTCATATTGTGACCAACAGAGCGATTCTAGTAACAAGACTTATGCTACTGTGAGCTATCCCATTATGTGTAAATTCTCTGACTTCAGAATCTTATTCTTAAGGGCTCTTACTTTTATCCTCTCTTATCTCAGCAAAGCAATCCCTGCCGATCTACTTTTGAAAGTATTTCTCCATTCAATAACTGGCTCTTTCTGTTTCATTAGATCAACCAGCACAGCACTTGATTTGAATTTAATTGTTCAGTCACATGTGCATTCTAACAAGCTCTAAAATTCCCCTATGTACCTCCAAGGTGAACCCAGTAACCTTTTAAAACAGTCAGGCCGGCCAATCTTCAGAGCCTCTTGTTCTGGCTTCAGAGCAGGAAGTGTTCAGGCTTTTGAAAGGGACTTTGAGTGAGGAGGGGGGCAGATCAGGAAGAGGCCAGCCCTCTAACAGAACAGACCATGGCTAACACATTTTACTTTTTCTTTTCCTTTCACTCCTTTGAAAGTTCGGATACATTTTGCTCTGAGGAAGCTCATCACAATATCTCTCCTTCTCTACCTACCTGAAATCCCCTGCACATTGTCATGCAGCTTGATAGTCTCTAAACTAGATTTACGTGGGTAACATTTGCTTTTAAGATGCCAACACTTTCAGGAGGCTCACTTGACCACTTTATTTCTAAATTCAAACTGAGATCAACCTTCATAGACAAAACATGAATTTTGATGTGGGAAGAAGAAGGTGAATTTTCCAACAAGTAATACCTCATCATAGCGTATGATGAGATAAGAGTTTCAGACAGCAAGAGGTCAGCAACAGGGCACTGCAAGCAGCAGCTGGAGAAGTACGAGACAGACTGATTACATTATGTATGGGTATTCACTCATTTAATCCCAAATCAACACTTCAAGGAGATACTTTATTATGTATCTTTTTTTCACAAATAAAAAGAAAATGGGGCTTAGAGAGGTTGTCACTTTTCCATAATCTCCTAGTGATAAATGTTCCATCAGGGATTAGGATTGAAGAGTGTCTAGATCCAGAAACTGTGCCTTTACCTGTAAGTCTACACTTGGAACTGGCCAGTGGGAAGGGCAGGCATGGCTCTGAAGCCAGAGCAGGAGCACGGGCCATGGAGACTGGGCTCTCTCTCTAATTTTCCCCTATTGCCATGAATAGCTAAACCATAATCTCAACTCTATTCTCTTTCTTTGCTTCCTAGAACTCCAGAGAACAGTGAACTTGCAAAAATGCCAATTTTTATTTTTATAATCTTACTCTGATGGAGTATATTTAGCATAAGGGAAGTAACACAACTTCAAAGATTGTGGGTTCCACCTTCTTTTGGTCTCTCACTTATCTTCTAAAGGTTAAGAGCATAGGCTGGGGGCGGTGGCTCATGCCTGTAATCCCAGCACTTTGGGAGGCTGATGGGGGCAGATCAAGAGGTCAGGGGTTCGAGACCAACCTGGCCAACACAATGAAACCTCATCTCTACTAAAAATACAAAAATTAGCCAGATGTGGTATCATGCACCTGTAGTTCCAGCTACTTGGGAGGCTGAGGCAGGAGAATCGTTTGTGCCCGGGAGGCAGGGGTTGCAAAGAGCCGAGACTATGCCATTGCACTCCAGCCTGGGTGACAGAGTGAGACTCTGTCAAAAAAAAAAAAAAAAGCATAGACCATACAATCAGAATACTGAGTTCAAATTTCTATTCCACCATATACCAGCTGTGTGACGTTGGGCAAACTCTTCAGCCTTTCCAGGCCTCAATTTCCTCATCTGAAAGACGAGGATGACAAAAATGTCTGCTCCTTAGGATGAAGGTGATGATTGATTCAATGATATAACACACGTGAGGCACATAGAGTGAGCACTTGATAAAGGTCAGGTATAGATTGCCTTACTCAAAAACTATTTTCTGCTCTTAGGGTATTTTTAGGTTCTAAAAATTTGGAATTTAGATCACAGGCTCATGCCTGTGATCCTGGCACTTTGGGAGACCAAGGCAGGAGAAACACTTAAGCCCAAGAGTTCAAGACAAGCCTGGGCAATATAGAGAGACCTTGTCTCTATAAAAAGCAAAAAAATAAAAATTAGCTGGGCATAGTAGTTCATGCCTGTGGTCCCAGCTACTCACAAGGCTGAGGCAGAAGGATTGCTTGAGGCTAGGAGTTTGAGGTTGATATGGTTTGGCTGTGTCACCACCCACATCTCTTCTTGAATTGTAGTCCCCATAATCCCCATGGGTCATGGGAGGGACCCAGTCAGAAGTGATTGGATCATGGGGGTATTTTCCCCCCATGCTGTTTTCATGATAGTGAGTGAGTTCTCATGAGATCTGATGGTTTTGTTAAGTGTCTAGCATCTTCCCTGCTGGCTCTCATTCTCTCTCTTACTGCCCTGTGAAGAGGTACCTTCTGCAATGATTGTAAGTTTCCTGAGGCCTCCCCAGCTAGGCAGAACTGGGAGTCAATTAAACCTCTTTTCTTTATAAATTACCCAGTCTCTGGTATTTCTTCATAGAAGCATGAGAATGGATTAATACAGGATCTATGATCATGTCACTACACTCCAGCCTGAGTGGCAGAGGGATATCCTTTCTCTAGTATAAATACATAAATAAAAATAAAAATTTAGAATTATGTGCCTTCATATACAAATATTGAACTTTTTTTCAATTTCACAAAACTGGTGTATTTAATATAATAATAAATAATAATAAATAAGCCAGAAGTCTACAGACAAAAGGAAGTTATGTCTTTTAGCAAAGATTTTTTTAATCAACAGAATGAGAATTAAATAATATAAGCTGAAATACTTTAGTGTAGGTACTTTTTCAAATATTGAAATACTCTTAGGATTACCGGGGCTTTTAGTCTAAGAGACTAACTGTTTCAGTTTGGCTTAGATTGTCCAAGTTCAGTATATTTAGACTTTGAAAAGTGCTATATAAATTAATCTTGATTGATCTACAAAAGTATTTCTGCAACTTGTGTCTTCTTAAAATCAATTCCATTCTTTAACATCATTTCATTATGCTTTAGTATGTAGTTTAATGCTTTGCTTCCAAATGTAAAATATAAGCTATGAAATAACATGCTTAAAGCAGCATTTTTGATCTGGCAGTCTTCAATTTTACAGACAAGAATGTGTTCAACAAGCCAGAGATGTACAATTCCCTAAGCAGGTGAAAAAATGTGATCATGCAGGCTGAAATGACAGTTTTCATACCATTTTCAAGGCATGTTGTGTGCATCTGTTCTATATCTGGAAATATGTTTTTACATTTTTTTCCTGAAGAAAACTTAAAAAGTGTTTCTATAGTTTGGTTTCTTAGTTATCATAAAATATATAAATGAGAATATGGAAATGAAAGGTCATAGAGATATTTATCTGAGTGGAGGGCACTAGGATTCCAAGGCTGGTTATGATCTAGACTAAACTTTATCATTCTTACAAGTGTCTCTTCAAAAACATGGGCCAGGAGTAGGACTCTACATTTGTGTTTAAAGTGAATATGATTATCTATTTGCAGCTGCCAGATAAATGTTTGCAAGACTCTGAAGTCTCCTTTTAAATACAGGCAGCCAAAAATTAAAAGACCATTTAGGGGCACTGTAATTTTTGCCCAGAATTTAACTGGATTCCAGTTAAAACTCCAAGCTGATTAAAGATATGATACCCATTATAGTCTCTGACTTTTAAACTCTTTAGCAACACAATTACATATATAAGAAAACAGTTATAGTTGTTTGATTATAATCCAAGCCTTTTAAAAGACAGTTCACAGTTGGATTGACTATCAGTGTGTTTGCTTATTAGAACAGAAATTCATTTGTGATCCTTTGGAATTATAAATAATACGGGCATCTGAGTAAAAATGCATCTGCTAAACTCTGCTAGCAAAGAGCTCAGCTGGATTGTACCTGTAGTCCCAGCTACTCAGGATGTGGGATGCCAAGGTGGGAGGATCGTTTGTCCCCAGGAGTTCAAGGCTGCAGTAAGCTATGATAGCGCCACTGCTCTGCAGCCTGGGTGACAGAGACAGACCCACCCCCTCCTGGAAAAAAGAAAAGAAAAGAAAGACTTCAGGAGGGTGAAATTCAACTAGAAAACAGCCCATATTTTTAATGATGTTCATTCAAAAGTATTCATTTTTCTTCCTCAACTTGTTCTTCTTCCTCCCTTCCCCTTCATTTCCTTCCTTTTCCTTCCTAGCAATTCAGTCCAAAATGCACTCGATGGGGCAAGGCAAGGTAGGCATCCATGCAGGCAAAGGGGTGGCATGCATGGAGTAACAAAGCCCAGGCAGGGTGATGAGGGTGTTTACTGAGGGGCAGGAAGGAGAAGTCAGAAGCCAAATAGGGCAGTGAGGGCATCCATGCTGGAGGGTGGGCTGGTATAGGGTGTCGGAGCACAAGTTGGGAAAATAGAGGGTGACCATGCAGAGGGATGCCCAGGGTGGACAATCAGACACTGAGCAGTGTGAGGAGGGCATCCACTGGGGGGCTGCCCAGCTTAGGGTAGCAGAGCCTAGGCCATATGAGGAAGACAGCACATGGAGTGGGGGGTGGCCAGGCATGGGGAGCCAGCACCCAAGCAGGGTGGAGAACAACCTGGTAGAAGGAGGCAGAGCCCAGGTGGAATAAGAAAGGCATGTGAGCAGGGGAGAGAGGTGGTGTAGCCATTGAAAATGTGTTACATACAGGGGAAGTGATCACATAAATACATTAAAGATAATGAAAACCAAGTTTGTTTGTTTGTTTGTTTTCAGCATAAGAATTACAAAAACAAAATGTGAGAAAACTAGAACAAACCTGTAGAGCTGAATTAATGTTGGTAGGATCAGTGTGAGTTTATGATTTTCCATAGCTAGTTAGTTAGCTAGCTTGAGAGATAGATGAGGCATAGCAAAAAATGTAAATGCAAGTGTGTAGGTATGTGTGTGTTTGCCTATGTGTGTGTGTGTCCACTGTGAGGGCCTAGAGCACTGATACCCCAATAGCAATGAGCACCCCAAGTGCCCAGATCTTAGCTTCTAAGTGCTAGTCTCCACTAAAAGGAACCAGAAATCCATGGAGAAATGGCTGATAGCTAGTTTGGGCAGGGAAAGTAAAATGAGTCTGGAACATTTTGTCCAGAAAACAAGGAAGTGCTCAAAGAAAGGTGGTGTATTAGTCTGTTCTCATGCTACTAATAAAGATGTACCCGAGAGTGGGTAATTTATAAAGAAAAAAGGTTTAATGGACTCACAGTCTCACATGGCTGAGGAGGCCTCACAATCATTGCTGAAGGCAAACAAGGAACAAAGATGCATCTTACTTGGCAACAGGCAAGAGAGCTTCTGCAGGGGACCTCCCGTTTATAAAACCATCAGATCTCGTGAGACTTATTCATTACTACAAGAACAATATGGGGAAAACCACCCCAATGACTCAATTATCTCCACCTGGTCCCACACTTGACACGTGGGGATTATTACAATTCAAGGTGACATCTGGGTGGGGAGACAGCCAAACCATATTATATGGGGACAGAATAACACCGGAGCCACCGAAAAGTCTGGGATTATTTTAGCATTGAACAAATGATTGTGATGGATTATAAACCATTCAATAAAATAGGAACCCACGAATATGTAGAGATATACATAAATGAAAAAAGTTTAACCACAAATGGGATATTTACATAGCTTCAAAGTGCTTCTTCATGAAACACTTATTACTTACAAAGGTGAAAAGTAAGTTCTGAAAGGAGAGGCCTGGCAGACACCACCTCAATCAAGTGATCAGAGAGAACAAATTTTGTACCACCTGATAACTGTGTGGATCACAGGATCACCTCAGTGATGCTGCTGTCAAAGGTACATAATTGGAATCAGACTATAATGAAATGTCTAAGAATCCCAAAAGTGAATGGAAATGTGCAAAATAACTGGTCTACAACCTTAAAAAATGTCAAGATCCCAAAATGAAAAGAAAAGAAAGAGAAAGAAACTGTTTCCAACAAAAACAAACTAAAGAGACACAACTAAAGAAACTAAAAAGAAACTCAATGTGTGATTCTTAACTGGATTCTTCTTCTGTAAAGGACATTACTGACACAACTGGCAAAACTCGAATAGGGTCTGAGTATTACATAGATATTGCTCAGTTAGTCAACGTACCTGTCTTAGCTTCTTGATTTTTATAATTATATTGTGGTTGTATATAACAGCATTTTGTTTATAGGAAATACATAATAAAGCATTGGGAGTGCAGTGATCTATGCTAATAGCAAGGGGGATATAGTTTCCCTCACCACTCTAACTCCCTCTATTACTGAATTCTAAATTCTACTTTACACCACATTCCTCTTGCATATTGAATTTTTTCAATGTCCAGAAAAGTCATATTACGGATTCGTCCTGGAAAAATAATTCTTTCTAGATGACATATTTTTCAGCATTTGTTGGTCATCATGTTAATAGTTTTCTTCCTTCATGGTCTCTTTCCTGAAGAAACTTTGCTCCTTGTGGGGAAAAAGTAAAACTAATATAAAATATAAGTTAATTTTTTAACATTTAGATGAGAGCTCTCTTTTGGTTTGTTCCCTATACCCATGATCAGCTTTCTTCAAAATTATTTTCATTATTGACCACACAAAACAGCTCTATTAGTGGTGTTCTCTGAAGCCACGAGTTAACTTGCAGCACTGCTTCTATGCATTCAGCTAAATATGACTGAGGAGGCTTTAGTTGAAAAAACCTGTGCTTTTGAGTTAGGCATGCCTAGATTTGAATTCTGGCTCTGCCGTGTATCACTGGGTAAAATGCCTAATAACCCTCAATCTCCATTTCCTCCTTTAGAAAAATGAACCAAATGACTGACAGCTCAAAGTGTTGTGATTATAGTTAAATGAAATAATGTGCCTGTAGAAAAAAAAAACAGGTAGATAGAAAGTTTTCACTTAAAATAATTGCCATTACTATTGTTATTTTCTCCCAGGTGCATAAAAAGTTTTTATTTATATAGTTGCAGTATTGTTATTATTCCCTTCCCACTTTTTTCTAATAGACCTGCCTGCTCTGAGTAATCTCTTCTCCAGCTACATACTTATGCATATTCTCTTTGTGAAAATAGACCATATTAATACCAGTATGAATTCAACTCTGCAGCTTTCCTTAATTCTTCACGCTCATAACACAGGACAAACTTGCTCATTACGACACACCCAGTTGGCCTCCTGCCACTCTAGAGAAGATGATGTGGGGGAAATGAGGGGCTTTGCTGGGGGTCATTGGGAAGAGGCATGGCCAACCCTTGGCTTCTGAAAGATGACCTCAAGCAACTGATATGTGGACTGTTTGCACTCATATCTATTAAAATTTGATGCTATGTCCACATATGTCCTTGGGATAGATTCTCTTCAGTAAGGAACTTCTTCATATACATTGAAAATGAATGACTTTAACAAAGTCTTTAAAAACCATGAAGAGCAAATGTGAATGTGGACACTTCAAAAGAGTTCTAGATAGATGGGATTTAGATTCCTTTTAACTCTTACGGCCAGTACTCTTTGTCACAGCAAGCAAACTAACACACTAGTCTTGGCACATGTCCCAACAGTTTTGGACAACTCTCTCAATACAGAAAAGGGGCAATTTTGTCACTGAGGAAGCAAACTTAGCCTAGTGATTAAAAGTGTGGGTGCCGTCTTGACATAGCCTAGATTCAAATTTCATCTCTGTCTCTTACTATCTGTATGATTGAGTTACCTGAGTCCTGATTCCTTCATCACTAGAATAAAGATAATGAGAACTACCTCATGGGGTTGCTATGAGGGTTAAATGAGAGAATGTGTTACTAATGTACTTAGCACACTCTCTGACACAGGGTCATCACTGAATACATTGTAGTAGTTGTTCCAGTTGCTCTTGTACTTGTTCATAGAAGACAGTGTGATGAGTAGGAAATCAGCCACCTGGTCAACACTGTAACCCAGAATAACATCTTATGGTAATTTTTCCATTAGAAAATATTGAAATATCAGATACATCATAAAGGTGTCATAAAATTTAATTCATGTGGTATTAACATACCCATAGGTGTGCACATAGATCACCTAAGTTCCTAAATTACATTTATACTGTTGTTCTAAGAATTCAATATTATAAGAATATTTAGTAATCATTATTATTAAAGACAATAATTATTTATTTTCTTTGCTTCTAAGATAACAGTTTAAAAAATGGAAATGCCCACAGCTATTTTTTTTGATAGACTTAACGTATTCTCAAGATTTTGAATGTACAGATTTGGTACAATTTCCTCTGTATTGAAACCCTAATTCAATTAATAATTAGTTAGTTTGGTAACCAGGAAACTGAAATTATTTCATAAATTCCAAGTCAGTCTTTCAGCCCATGTCCATTGACAACAGTAAATGGCATACCAGTCCCTAAAACCTGAATACAAGTCATAAACTGAGATGTCAGGCAACCTAAGGCAAGCAATGATATGATCAACAGCCCTAACCCTGAGTAAATTTCTACAGCCTTAATATTTTTAGCCTGTTGCAAAAAACAACCAAAAATAAAACAGCAGCAAAAATTCTGTCACGGGGCATTTCAGGTCAGGTTCTGCTGAAAGGGTGATGATTAATGCACATTTTCAGTCAAAGGAGGCAAGTGCTTTATTTTGGCATTGCTTCTGAAATACAGTTGACCCTTAACAACATGGGTTTGAATTGCAAGGATCCATTTATACATGGTTTTTATTATGCCTCTGCCACCCTTGAAAATGAAGATTTTCCACTTAATGGATAGTAAACATATATTCTCTTCCTTACAATTTTCTTAATAACATTTTCTTTTCTCTAGCTTACTTTATTTTAGGAATGCACTCTATCATACATATAACATACAAAATATATGTGTTAACCAACTGTTCATGTTTTCAGTAAGGCCTCTGGCCAATAGTAAGCTATTAGTAGTTAAGTATTAAGTAGGTAAGAGCAGCCAAAATTTATGCCGGGATTTTCAACTACACAGGGGTCAGTGACCCTAACCCTTACATTTTTCAAGAGTCAGCTGTACATGGTAAGAGACGCAACAGAAATATAGAAAGAATACATGGAATCTGAAAGGATTTTGAATTTCTTCCTGGAATAAGGGACAAATGATGTTGTTCACCATATTTCAAGCCAGAGAAACTTTTCACAGAATAAAGGTAGTGTGTTAGTCCATTTGCATTGCTATAAAGAAATACCTGAAACCAGGTAATTTATAAAGAAAATAGAGAGGTGTTTCTGGCTCACGATTCCACAGGCCGTACAGGAAGTCTGATGCCAGCATCTGCTTCTGGTGAGGACTCAAGGAGCTTGTAATCATGGCAGGAGCTAAAGGGAGAGCCAGCATATCCCACAGTGAGAGAGGAAGCGAGAGAGAGGAGGGGGTTCCAGGCTCCTTTAAACAACCAGCTTTCCTGTGAACTCAGAGTAACAACTCACTTTTTACCTCGAGTTGGGCACCAGGCTATTCAAGAGGGATCTGCCCCCATGACCCAGCCACCTCCCACCAGGCCCCACTTCCAACACTGACAATTACATTTCAACATGAGCTTTGGAGGGGACAAACATCCAAACCATATCAGGCAGTCATTCTCTACTCTAGGCCATGTCTGAGCCAAACCACCAGACAATGCAATAATATTCTTGCTAAAATCTAAGTAGCTAAGGACAGGTGTCCTCCTTAGCTCCACAGAAGTCAAAAGCCTGAGGCTTAGAAATAACTAAAACAAGTGTCTTCTGAGTTATCTATAAGATGTGGCACCAATATGGAATTTCTGCATCATCCAGCTATGGAAAGAGGGGACAGACACTACACTGACTTCACTAGAGTAATCAACCTAATTTTAAAAATAAATCAACATAGATCAGGATTAAATGATGAACAATCTAACTTACCCTTTTGGTTTTTATTCTTATTTGTTTTTTTATATTTTATTTTTAAATCATTCTTTATTATTCTATTTAATAAATGCTTACATAGCATTTCCTTTGCAAGGCATACTTTTAAGCACTTTACAAATCTTAGTTCATCTCCTCCTCATCATAACTTCATGAAAAAGTTACCGCTATTAACCCCATTTTACAGATGAGGATATTGGCAGTGGTGTGCCTACAGTTTCTAAAAGAGTTTCTAAAATTAGTGAAATAAAGATACTCAAGCAAACTCAAGACTTCTTTTAAGAAGACATTTTAAAACACAAGCTAACAGTATTCTTATTAGCATCAAACAGGCCCAAGAAGGTAGATGTAAGAGTATAAAATTCCTCCCTCCTTCCGAAAAAGCACCTATAAAGCTAAACCCAGCTTAAGGGTAGATGTTTCAACTAAAATATAGGCAAGGTAAATTCAAATGCCAACTGCCTTTAATATTCACTCCCTAGTTCTAGCTTTCTTGCTCTCTCACTCTCTCCCTGTCTTTGTTTTCTTCCTTCCATGTCTCACTTTTCTCTGCCTCCCTCAAAGAAGTAATTATTGGAGGACTCTTCTCCCTCTGATAAACTGCAGGGGCTAAGAAAAAGACTGGTGAGAAGAGTGCCCCATACGAAAGAATTGACTTCAAAGGCACAGCACATCAAAGTGACTTGCCAGGCAGCTGTGAGATCTTGCTGAGCTGAGCTGGCCTGGTCCGCTTCTCCCCCTCACTGCCTGGCTCAAACCACCACTCAGGGACTACTCAGGGATGGAAGAGATTTCAGAGCTCAAGCTGGCTGCATCCATCTGCACCAGCAGGGGAAAGTGCTAGATACATACCAGGTGTTACATCTTTTGTTTTGATTAGATAAATGCTCTCAATAGATAGCGCTGAATAATATTATCACCTAATTCTCCTGAGGTTTCTTTCTCCTTCTTGAAGTATTTGACAGTAGTTTTCCAATTAGGTAGCAAAAATGAAATGAGGATTTGTGCCAGTGTAGCCTAGTGTGTTGAGTGAATAAGACCTAAGGATGAATCATCATCTGTGATATCATCAAAAGGGTATTATTGGAGCTGCAGCAACACATGTTACGAGAAAGGAAACAAATGAACTTGAAAGAATCTATCATGCTACAAAACCAAATGACCCTCAAAATTGGGCAGTGTTGACAATACAACAGATATCCAGATGGAAACTGAGAGATTCTGATTGTCACACCGATTATTTCAAACATATGGGTTTGTGTTATCATATAAATGAACATTTGAATGCCTTGCTTTGTTGCTTTTCACCTATGTCCTAGCTGTACAGTAACTACAATCTCAAAGTTATTTGAGTGTCTCTTCCTCCTTAATATCAGGGACTGTTTCACATATGTCCCTTTGCATTTTCTCCATTTCCCAGCACAAAGCCTGCCCAGAAGAGGAACCAGTCAATATTGCCTGAATGAGTGATGACGAATACCACAGAGAAAGTATACATGAAGTCCTTTTTGTGTAACTTTTCATGGCTTGAAGTTGATGTGGAAGACATCACTTTGGTATGCAGCAGAAACAAACTTCAAAAGTCCATAGTATCAGGCTCTAGACAATTTTCACTAACAATTTACTCTGCATCTTCCTAAAAAAATTGAATTATAGATGGTTAATAACAATGAAAATCTATACTACTTACTACTCAGTCTACCAACTATACAATGCCACAGTACAATCGGAGTCATCATAGAAAAGAACCTGGGGACAAAATATCTTTTCCATCTCTTTAAAGACTGAAACATATGATTGACCCATGGCCAATGTCATGTTTAAGAAACTTAGAAAAATTCAACATTAGACTTATAGTGCTGTCATCATTGTTTCGCCTGCTGCTAAAACCCATATTTTTCTAAACCTCCTACAGTTTTGGACTTGCAGGGCTATCTACAATAGAGATTTACTTTCTAACATGTTCAGAAACTGTAATAAACCTTTGCTATTGTCACCTGCAAAGCCCAGCAGTTAGTGCAGGCTGTTTCTTCTCCTTTGCCTCCTGCAGGAAGTGCCTGTGCTTCAGGGTTGGTGCAGGATACAAGGTGGGTAGAACTTGTGTGTGTGTTCTACAGGGTCAGCCACTTCAATCAACGGCAGGTTATAGATGGCATTTCTCCTCTGGGAGGAGAGTGTTACCTTTAGTGAAACTATTCACCTGGTTGGAGCTAATCAACTTACTCAGAGCACTGGGCTTGAACCTAAAGAAAATCATGCTGTGATCAGTAGAAAAAAAAAGGTTTTTATGTCTCATTCACCACCAAAGTATAGTAGAAAATTATGGACCCCCCCCAATTTCTCGCCTTTTACTTGCAATATTTGAATCTGTGTGTGTGTGTGTGTGCACATACACACCTCTGTGTGTTTTTTCTTGTCATTCTGCTGTCACTGCCTCCTCCATGATTTTCTCATTGCTAGTCTACTACAGGAAAAGTTCCAAGATAGTAAAAGTTTTAGAGTAAAACATCAAAACACTTCCCTTTCCATTGTATTTAAAGAGGCTCAAGACTAGGTGAATAAATATATTTACAAAATGTCTGCTATGTCCTTAGATACATATTAATGGTCATTTGACTCTGATAGCTGGAAACACTGATTCACTTCATTTCCTGCACATTGGAATCACCCAGGGAGGTTTGTAATATATTAATAATTGAGTCTCAACTCCAGTGTTTCTGATTTAATTGGTCTAGATCACCACAGGCTTGCAGTTTGGCTATAAGCCTTTAAATGAAAGGCTCTTGGGTCTTTAGCCCAGAACTTCTCTTCCCTCCTCCTCTGCCTTTTAGGAAAAACACAGAAACAGAAACCCACATGAGCTAAGCATGTGTAGTCTGCTACTAATGAATCAAGTGCAAAAATTAGAAAAACACATAGTTTCTGACAACATGCTGGACAAAGAGAGAGAAACAAGATATCCTCTCAGAAGAAACTCAAAAAATTTAACATTTGCTTTCCTCCTCTTCCTCCTTCTCCTTTTTTTTTTTTTTTTTTTGGTTGGAGTCTCACTCTCTTGCCCTGGTTGGAAGGCTGGAGTGCAGTGGCACAATCTCTGCTCACTACAACCTCTGCCTCTGGGGTTCAAGTGATTCTCAGACTCTCAAGTAGCTGGGACCACAGGCATACCCCACTTGCCTGGCTAATTATTGTGTTTTTAGTAGAGACAGGGTTTCAACATGTTGACCAGGCTGCTCTCGAATTCCTGACCTCAAGTGATCTGCCCACCTTGGCCTCCCAAAGTGCTGGTATTACAGGTGTGAGCCACTGCGCCTGACCCCATTTGGTTTCTAGAGTTAAAACAGACACTTGTTAGTTTATCCTGTGGATATTTCCTGTGCCTGTCCATTTAGTCACAAACTGAGGGCTCCTTTGAGCTTTAAACCACACCCAACTCTTCTGAGCAGGCCTGAATTTTGAACAGATTAAATAGACTTACCTACATAGGATGATTTGAAGGAGATGCAGCAAAATAAGTCTCTTTTGCAAATATCTCCTTTACCTGAATTTAAACGTAAACAATTTATATTTCATGTTGTGTATGTACTTTTGGAATTGAAGAATCTGTGTACTAAAATGGAACTATTTCTGGTGGAGGAGAGAATAAAAGAAGCTCACTTAAGTCAGAGTTGGTAAATAATTTCCAGTTTACTTGATGATTCCAATTGACTGGTAATGATGGTTAAGGGTAGTGCATTGATAGATAATATATCATGATCAAGTTACATGAATTTCAAGAAGGAAAAGTTGGTTTACACGTTTACACTGGCAAAAAAAATCTATATGTATGATCTACCAGATTAAAGAAACAAGTTATTATGTCACAATGTGTAGAAACTATTTGGTAAACTTAACACCCATTTGTGTGTGTTTTTTTTTAAAAGCTCAGAATAAAAATCAAAGCTTTCTTAACCTGACAAAATTTGTCTATCAAAAATTTACAGTAAATATAAATTTTAACGGTGAAGTAAGTTAAAATCAGGAACAAGAAAAGAATGTCTATTATCATCACTTCTGTTTGATATAATAGACAGTGTAATAAGGACAAAGGGGCAAAAAAAATGAAAAGGACTGGAAAGGAAGCAACAAAACCCCCTTTATTCATATATAATATGATTTCCACATTAAAGACCCAAAATAATCTGCCAAAAATTAGAGCTAGTAAAAGTGTCTAGTAAAATGCTTGAATGTGAGATTAATACATAGAAATTAATTAGTTATATATCAACAACAAACAAATATTATGCAATAAGATACTATTTTAAAAAGCTACTTTTTAAAAAACCCTTTAAGGTAACAAGCTACCATGAAATAAATCAAACAAAATAAGCATGAGACATTTATGGAGAAACTTTTTAACATTATAAGAGATATTTAAGAATCTCTAAATAAATAGGAATATTATTTTCATGGAAAGTATCAGAACTCAATATCAAAAAGATGTCAATTTCCATAAATTGTTTACAGATTAAAATTCCGATAGGTTTTTCAAGAAACATGGTAGCAAATTCTAAAATTTATACGGAAAATGAATATCACAAAATAGGGGAGAAACTTCTGATGAAGAATACAGTACAGAGATTTGCCCAACATAATCTCAAGGCTTACAGAACTAAGATAAGTAGAGCTATATGATATTAGCCCAGAGCAGAGAGATCAGTCAGTGTGACAGAACAAAACAGACCCAATCATATGACAGATATGGCAAAAGGATATATATTCAATAAAAGAACTGATACAATCAGCAATCCTTATAAAAATTAAGTTGCACACTTTCTCACACTATTGGCAAAATCAATTCCCAATGGAATAAATATATAAATGTAAAAGGCAAAACTTCAAAACTTTTAGAAAACAAAATAGAATATCCTTATGATCTCAAAATAGAAAAGGATCTTTTAATACAAAAAATGCTAATCAAATTAGTCATATCATCTGACATGGCAAAAGCATTTCACAAAATCCAACACCATTCATGTTATAAACTGTCAGCAAGTGAGGGAAAGAGAGATAGGTGCTAAGTTCACCTTGATAAAGGGCATCTACATCTGCAGCTAACATCATGTTTAATGGTGAAAGGCTGAATGCTTTCCCTACAACATTGGAAACAATGTAAAAATGTCCAATATCTGCTCTCACAATTCTTAGAAAATATAGCACTGGAAATCCTAGACCCTGCAATAAGGCAAAAAAATAAAGGCATACGAATTGGAAAGGAAAAAATAAGACTGTCTGTATGTGTAGATGACATAATTATCAACATAGAGTATCCCAAGAAATCTACAAAAATGATCCTAGAATGAACAAATGAGTTCAGCAAGGTCAAAGGATATCAGATCAATGCAGAAAAATCAGTCACACTTCCACATACTAAACATAAATATGCAGCAACCAAAATCAGAATCACCATTCCATTTACAGTTGTTCCAAGAAAATGAAACGCTTAGATGTATTTTAAATACGACATGTACAGGATCTGTATGCTAAAAATTACAAAATACTGAGGAAATCAGTCAATGCTCTAAATAAGTGGAGACATACTATGTTCATGGATTGGAAGCCTCAACAGGGTGAAGATGTAGGTTTGATGCAATGCCTATCAAAATCCTATTGAGGTTTAAAGTGGAAGAAATCACTTTAACCAATATTGATGTTTATTCTATAGCTACAATAATCAAGAGCATGGTATCAGTGGAGGGATGGACACATAGATCAGTGGAAGGGTATAAAGAGCCCCAAAATAAACTCACACAAATACACTCAGCTGATTCTTAACAAAGGTACAGAAGCAATTCAGTGGAGGAAGGAGAATCTTTTGACAAATGGTGCTGAAGCAATTGGAAAAACAGGCAACCTAAACTTCACAGCTTATAAAAGATTAACTCAAAATGCATCACAGACTTAATTGCACAAAAATTTAGGATATAGGGCTAGGCAAATATTTGTAAGACTTGACACCAAAAGCAAAATCCATAAAAGGAAAAAATTAATAAACTGAACCTCATCAAAATTAAAAATACTAGCCATACAATAAAAGATTGATAATTTCTACTATACAGAAATTAAGAATAATAATACATTTCAAAGCATTGAAAAGAAAGTAAAAAGGCACATCAACACTAGGAGAAGATATTTTAAACACGTGACAAACAGAGATTAATATCAAATATATCTTAAGAACTCATTCAAATTAATGTTTGTAAAGTCTAAAAATCCAATCAAAAATGGCCAAAAACTAAGAAGAGGTGATTTTATGGAAGAGAAACTACTAACTGCCAATAAACTGAGAAAAAACTATCTGATGTTCAACAAACATGATGAAAACAAGCAATTGGAAAAGGATTCCCTATTCAATAAATGGTGCTGGAAAAACTGGCTGGCCATATGCAGAAGATTGAAACTAGACTCCTTCCTTACACCATATACAAAAATTAACTCAAGACAGATTAATGGATTAAAGACTTAAATGTAAAACCCAAAACAATAAAAACCCTGGAAGACAACCAAGGCAATACCATTGAGGACATAGGCACGGTTAAAGATTTCGTGATGAAGATGACAAAAGCAATTGAAACAAATGCAAAAAATCACAAATGGGATCAAATTAAACTAAAGAGCTTCTGCACAGCAAAAGAAACTATCAACAGAGTAAACAGGCAACCTACAGAATGAGAGACAATTTTTGCAAGCTATGCATCTGACAAAGGTCTAATATCCAACATCTATAAGGAACTTTAAACAATTTACAAGCAATAAAAAATATTAAAAAGTGGGCAAAGGACATGAACACACACTTTTCAAAAGAAGACATAAATGTGGCCAACAATCATAAGAAAAAAGGTCAACATCACTGATCATTAGAGAAATGCAAATCCAAACCACAATGAGATACCATCAAACAACAGTCAGAATGGCTATTATTAAAAAGTTAAAAACTAACAGTTGCTGGCAAGGTTGTGGAGAAAAAAGAATGCTTATACATTAGTTCAGTCATTGTGGAATACAGTGTAATGATTCCCCAAAGACCTAAAGCCAAAAACATCATTTGACCGAGCAATTGCATTACTGGGTATATACACAAAGGAATATAAATCATTCTGTTATAAAGAAACATGTACACATATGTTTATTGCAGCACTGTTCAACATAGCAAAGACATGGAATCAACCTAAATGCCCATCAATGATAGACTGGATAAAGAAAATGTGGTATATATACACCATGGAATACTACACAGCCATAAAGAAGAATGAGATCATGTCCTTCACAAGAACATGGATGGAACAGGAGGCCATTATCCTTAGCAAACTAGCACAGGAAAAGAAAACCAAATACTGCATGTTCTCATTTATAAGTGGGAACTAAAAGATAAGAACACATGGACACACGGTGAGGAGGGTAACAATACACACAGGGGACTTTCAGAGGGTGGAGGGTGGGAGGAGGGAGAGGATCAGGGAAAATAACTAATGAGTACTAGGCTTAATACCTGGGTGATGAAGTAATCTGTACAACAAACCCCCATGATACACGTTTACCTATGTAACAAACTTGCACTTTTCCCCTGAACTTAGAATAACAGTATTTTTAAACTAAGAAAGAAGTTCACCCTCATTAATAATTAGGAAAATGAACCTGACACCACAATAAGCCAATATTTAGTGCTCATTCGATTGAGAAAATTTTTATAAGTACATTACTTCCAAGTCTTACAGACAACATTAAGCAAAAGGTATTCAACATTGTGTATTACAGTTATAATTTTTTTAAAAAATTAATCCATATCCATCTAAACAATGGATAAATAAAACTTGAAAAACATATGTAGTAGAAGATGATGTAGTGATGAAAATGAATATAACCATTAGCAATAACATGAAAGTATCTCAGAGACATTATGTTAAGTCAAAACATTAAACACAGAAGACTGAAGATGGCATGAAACAATTTTGAAAATGCTAAAAAACAAAGTTAAGCATTGTTCAGAGATATTTATGTAAAAACTTTTTTAAAAGCAAGGAAACAACGAAGAGAAAGAACCTGGGAGGAACAGGCAAGAAGTTTTAAGGGCTCAGAGATGTGTGCTTGCTTCGGCAGCACATATACTAAAATTGGAACAATACAGAGAAGATTAGCATGGCCCCTGCACAAGGATGACATGCAAATTCATGAAGCGTTCCATATTTTTATGAGCTAAAGGAGCATGTTCTAACCCAATGCAAAGAAGCTAAGAACCTTGATAAAATGTTAGAGGAACTGCTAAGTAGAATAAGCAGTTTAGAGAGGAACATAAACGACTTGATGGAGCTGAAACACACAGCACAAGAACTTCGTGGAACATACACAAGTATCAACAGCTGAATCGAACAAGTGGAAGAAAGGATATCAGAGTCTGAAGACCACCTTACTGAAATAAGATGTGCAAACAAGAATAGAGAAAAAAAAAAAGAATGAAAAGGAACGAACAAAGCCTACAAGAATATGGGACTTCATAAAAAGACCGATGGATGGGAGTACCAGAAGGAGACGGGGAGAATCGAAACAAGCTAGAAAACACACTTCAGGATATTATTCAGGAGAACTTCCCCAACCTAATGAGATAGGCTAACATGCAAATTCAGGAAATACAGACAATAATATTAAGATACTCCATGAGAAGATAAACCCAAGACACATAATCACCAGATTCTCCAAGGTCAAAATGAAGGAAAAACTGCTAAGGGCAGCGAGAGAGAAAGGCCAAGTCATCTACAAAGGGAGGCCGATCAGACTAACAGTGGACCTCTCAGCAGAAGCTCTACAAGCCAGAAGAGATTGGGGGCCAATATTCAACATCCTTAAAGAAAAGAATTTTCAACCCAGAATTTCATATCCAGCCAAACTAAGCTTCATAAGCGAAGGAGGAGTAAAATCCTTTCCAGAGAAGCAAATGCTGAGGGATTTCTTTTCCACCAGGTCTGCCCTGCCAGAGCTCCTGAAAGAAGCACTAAATATGGAAAGGAAAAACCAGTACCAGCCACTGCAAAAACAAAAAAAATATAAAGACCAATGACACTACGAAGAAACTGCAAGAACTAGTGTGCAAAATAACCAAATAGCTAACTATTCTGAATACGTATGCACCCAATACAGGAGCACTCAGATTCATAAAACAAGTTCTTAGGGACCTACAAAGAGACTTAGACTCCCACACAATAATAGTGGGAGACTTTAACACCCACTGTCAATATTAGACAGATCAACAAGATAAAAAATTAACAAGGCTATTCAGGACTTGAACTCAGCTCTGGATTAAGTGGACTTAGTAGGCATCTGCAGAACTCTATACCCCAAATCAACAGAATATACATTATTCTCAGTGCCGCATGGCACTTATTCTAAAATTAACCACATAATTGGAAGTAAAACACTCCTCAGCAAATGCAAAAGAACTGAAATCATAACAAACAGTCTCTCAGACCACAGTGCAATGAAATTAGAACTCAGGATTAAGAAACTCACTTAAAACCACACAATTTCATGGAAATGAACAACCTGCTTCTGAATGACTCCTGAGTAAATAATGAAATTAAGGCAGAAATCAAGAAGTTCTTTGAAACCAATTAGAACAAAGAGACAATGTACCAGAATCTCTGGGACACAGCTAAAGCATTACTAAGAGGGAAATTTATAGCACTAAATGCCCACATCAGAAATGTAGAAAGATCTCAAATCAACACCCTAACATCACAATTAAAAGAGCTAGAGAGACAAAAGCAAACTAATCCAAAAGCTAGCAGAAGACAAGAAGTAACTAAGATCAGAAAAGAACTGAAAGAGATAGAGACATGAAAAAGCCTTCAAAAAATCAACAAATCCAGGAGCTGTTTTTTTTTAAAAAAAAAAATTAGCAAAATAGAAAGACCACTAGCTAGTCTAATAAAGAAGAGAGGAAAGAATCAAATAGACACAATAAAAAATGATAAAGGGGATATCAACACTGACCCCACAGAAATACAAACTACCATCAGAGAATACTATAAACACCACTACATAAATAAACTAGAAAATCTAGACGAAATGGATAAATTCCTGGACACATATACCCTCCCAAGACTAAACCAGGAAGAAACTGAATCCCTGAATAGATCAATATCAAACGCTGAAATCGAGGCAGTAATTAATAGCCTACCAACCAAAAAAAAAAAAAAAAAAAAAAAGCCCAGGACCAGAAAGAGTCACAGCTGAATTCTACCAGAAATACAAAGAGGAGCTGCTACCATTCCTTCTGAGACTATTCTGAACAATTGAAAAGGAGGGACTCCTCCCTAGCTCATTTTATGAAGCCAGCATCATCCTCTTACCAAAACCTGGAAGAGACACAACAAAAAAAGAAAATTTCAGGCCAATATCCCTGTTGAACATCAATGCAAAAATCCTCAATATAATATTGGCAAACTGAATCCAGCAGCACATCAAAAAGTTTATCCACCATGATCAAATCAGCTTCATCCCTAGGATGCAAGGCTGTTTCCACATACACAAATCAATAAATGTAATCTATCTCATAAACAGAACCAAAGAAAAAAACTACATGATTATTTCTCTATAGATGCAGAAAATGCCTTCAATAAAATTCAACATCCCTTCATGTTAAAAACTCTCAATAAACTAGGTATTGAAGGAACATCTCAAAATAATAAGAGCTATTTATAACAAACCCACAGCCAATATCATATTGAATGGGAAAAAGCTGGAATCATTCCCTTTGAAATCAGGTACAAGACAAGGATGCCCTCTCTCACCACTCCTATTCAACATAGTATTGGAAGTTCTGGCCAGGACAATCAGGCAAGAGAAAAAAATAAAGGGTATTCAAATTGGAAGAGGGGAAGTCAAGTTGTCTCTGTTTGCAGACAACCTGATTGTATATTTAGAAAACCCCATCATCTCAGCCCCAAAACTTCTTGGACTGATAAGCTACTTAAGCAAAGTCTCAGAATACAAAATCAGTGTGCAAAAATCACAAGCATTCCTTTACACAAACAATAGGCAAGCAGAGAGCCAATTCATGAACGAACTCCCATTCACAATTACTACAAAGTGAATAAAATGCCTAGGAATACAGCTAACAAGGGATGTGAAGGACTTCTTCAAGGGGAACACAAACCACTGCTCAAGGAAATAAGAGAGGACACAAACAAATGCAAAAACATTCCATCTTCATGGATAGGAAGAATCAATATCATGAAAATGGCCATACAGCCCAAAGTAATTTATAGTTTCAATGCTATTCCCATCAACCATTGACATTCTTCACAGAATTAGAAAAAAACTATTTTAAATTTCATATGGAATCAAAGAAGACCCCATATAGCCAAGACAATCCTAACCAAAAAGAACAAAGCTGGAGGCATCATGCTACCTGACTTCAAACTATATTACAAGGCTACAGTAATCAAAACAGCATGATGCTGGTACCAAAACAGACATATAGACTAATGGTAGCAGAACAGAGAACTCAGAAGTAACACTACACATCTACAACCATCTGATCTTCAACAAACCTAACAAAAACAAGCAAAGGAGAAAGGATCTCCTATTCCGTAAACAGTGCTGGGAAAACAGGCTAGCCATAAGCAAAAAACTGAAACTGGACCCCTTCCTTACACCTTATACAAAAATTAATTAAAAATGGATTAAAGACTTAAATGTAAAATCCAAAACCATGAAAATCCTAGAAGAAAATGTAGGCAATACCATTCAGGACATAGGCATGGGCAAAGACTTCATGACTAAAACACCAAAAGCAATTGCAACAAAAGCAATTGCAACAAAAGCCAAAATTGACAAATGGGATCTAATTAAACTAAAGAGCTTCTGCACAGCAAAAGAAACTATCATCAGAGTGAACAGGCAACCTACAGAATGCGAGAAAAGTTTTGCAATCTACCCATCTGACAAAGGGCAAATGTCCATAATCTACAAGGAACTTAAAGAAATTTACAAGAAAAAAAAACAAACAACCCCATCCAAAAGTGGGTGAAGCATATGAACAGACACTTCTCAAAAGAAGACATTTATGCCAACAAATATATGAAGAAAAGATCAACGTTACTGATTATCAGAGAAATGCAAATCAAAACCACAATGAAATACCATCTCACACCAGACAGAATGGCCATTATTAAAAAGTCCGGAAACAATAGATGCTGGCGAGGCTGTGGGAAAATAGGAATGCTTTTACACTGTTGGTGGGAATGTAAATTAGTTCA
Organism: Homo sapiens; assembly: GCF_000001405.40. NCBI lineage: Eukaryota > Metazoa > Chordata > Mammalia > Primates > Hominidae > Homo > Homo sapiens. The sequence continues at coordinate 75,113,760 of NC_000013.11, forward strand.
ACCATTCTGGAAGACAGTATCGAAATTCCTCAAGGATCTAGAACCAGAAATACCATTTGACCCAGCAATCCCATTACTGGGTATATACCCAAAGGAATATAAATCATTCTACTATAAAGACACATGCACACGTATGTTTATTGCAGCACTGTTTATGATAGCAAAGACATGGAACCAACCCAAATGCCCATCAGTGACAGACTGGATAAAGAAAATGCGGCACATATACACCATGGAATACTATGCAGCCATAAAAAGGAATGAGATCCCGTCATTTGCAGGGACATGGATGAAGCTGGAAGCCATCGTTCTCAGCAAACTAACACAGGAACAGAAAACCAAATACTGCATGTTCTCACTCATAAGTGGGGGTTGAACATTGAGAACACATGGACCCAGAGAGGGGAACAACACACACCACGGCCTGAAGACAGAATTTAGAGGATGGGTCAATAGGTGCAGCAAACCACCATGCCACATGTATACCTATGTAACAAGTCTGCATGCTCTGCACATGTATCCCTTTATTTTTTTTTAGAAGAAATAAAGAAACAAAATCTTTAAATTGCAAAAAAAAAGTTCAGAGATGTCTTAGTTCTTAAGTCAGGGATGGATTCACAAGTATTTTTGTTATCTTGCTTCATAACCATGTATGATGCATATGACTTTCCTACACATAAGTCAAATATTACAAAACCAAATTTTAAAAAATTAAAAGCTTAGAAAAAATAAAGTAAATAACAAAATGTAGTCTTGTAATCTAAATTTTCCAGTAACATCTTAGTAAAATAGTCTTTAACGCAAGTATGTGTTTGAGTAGAAAGAACACTAATTTTATAGTTTAATAATATCTGGATATGAATGTTGGCCCTGGTTAAGCCCAGGTGTGCACTTGTGATTTGGGGCATATTATACACATTCTTTTTCTCCTCTGTAAGTAGGGAATGATTGCACCTACCTTACAAGCACATTGTAAGCTTGAATTAGGAGCTATATATAGGAACAGCTAGCACAGAACTGCTCAGGAAGGATGCAATGTCTTCAGTGCATGTTACCTATAATTTTATTGATAATCTTTCACAAATTGACTAATACTTTTTGGAACCAAGCAGTTACCAGTCTCCTGCTTGTGAGGAGCATCTTATTTTCACCACCAGGAAGATATGAAAAGCAAAGGAAGGTGGAAACCGTCATTCAGCATCTTTCATTTGCTAGGCACTGTTTAGTATTAAATATGTTACAGATATTAAAATATTTAGCCCTCAAAAAATGCAATGAGGAATACATTATCAACTTCATTTTTCAGATGAACCATGGTTATTTACCTTGCTCAAGATCATTTAACTCGTCACTGATCTTACCAGAATGAGAATCTACCTAAGTGAGCCTTTTTGTCCATATTCCTTTCACTACTTCAGATCAATCTCTAGAACAATTACAAATAGCCTGTCTCCTGATTTAACATAAGTTACTCCCTGTTATCTCTTCCTCCAGCTTCTATTTTAGTTTTAGGGCCCTTTATAGTTCACAGCCCATTTTAAGAAAACTAAAAGTTGATGCATTTGTGCTCTAATAAATCCTTAATGACTTCCTTGAATATGTTCCAAGCTTCTTTCATGTTGTGAAACTTGAATTCACTTCTGGGAGCTTTAGAGAGAGTGACTGAAAACTTCTGGCCAACTTTTATATATATAAACCGTTATGCTTCGTGTATACAGTTTAAGAATAATATACAGAATATACAGACAAGGATATTACCATGGGATAAACCTTCAATATTATCACTAAAACTTAGCAAAGACCTTTGAATTCTAGGGGACATCTCCCTGAGGAAGGAAAGAAGGAAAGAAGGTAGGAAGGAGGGAGGGAGGGAGGGAAGGAAAGGAAGGAAAGGAAGGAAAAGAAGGAAAGGAAGGAAGGAAGGAAGGAAGGAAGGAAGGAAGGAAGGAAGGAGGGAGGGACGGACAGAAGGAGGGAGAGAGGGATAGGGAAAGGATGAAAGGAAAACTTGAGAAGATTCCAAGTTGAAATGGAGCCTAGTTAACAGTACTGCCCATGGTGGCTTATTCCATGTGATCCATCACCATTGTTATCAAAGTCCCATTCTGTGTTCTCATCTGCTTACATGCTTAGCCCTTGACTTTCTAAATGAATACACGGTTTAAATTTTTCATGTTTCCTTTATGTTTGTCAATTTTCAAGTTTTACCCTCTGGAATGGTTGGTGGCTAGTTAACAAATCATACTGATGAAGAATATAGGCTCTGGCCCAGGCACCGTGGCTCACACCTGTAATCCCAGCACTTTGGGAGGCCAAGGTGGGTGGATCACCTGAGGTCAGGAGTTCGAGACCAGCCTGGCCAATATGGCAAAACCCTGTCTCTACTAAAAATACAAAAACAAAAAATTAGCAAGGCACAGTGGCACATGCCTGTAGTCCCAGCTGCTGGGGAGGCTGAGACAGGAGAATCGCTTGAACCCAGGAGGTGGAGGTTGCAGTGAGCCCAGATTGTGCCATCACACTCCAGACTGGGCAAAAGAGCAAGACTCCATCTCCAAAAAAAATAAAAAATAAAAAATAAAGAGAATATAGGCTCTGAAATTAGAACTAAGCCCCTATCCCCATTCTATTTCTTATTTGGTCAAGTTATTAAACTACTCTGAGCCTCAGATTCCTCGTCTATTAAATGGATTCTAATAATAGCATCTACCTCATTAGATTGTTCCGATAATTAAATGAGATCATGTAACATGTGTAAATGGCAAAGCCCAGGACCCTGGTACACTGGTCCTAATAGGACCTAATTAGGTAAGGATCTAATATTTATCACTACCATTGGCATCCACATCAAACTGTGATTTCAAAAATCCATCAATTTTAACATATTTTATACAGAATAAGACCTTAAGTGATGGCCCTATTTATGTTTGCATTATGATGGCATTAATGATACAAAATGATGGTGATACAAGAGCCAACCAAATGACAAAAGTGCCCCAAGAGAATTTTTTTTTATATCACTGGAAGAGTGCTTGCAATAGTCCTTGGTATATAATGAGACCTGTAGGCAAAGCCTGGCCTCTGTGTTTTTAATTTCTTTTTTATATATACTTATCTTTTTAATATACTTTTATTTTTTCCTTTCTTGCCTCATCTTATAAAATAATTCATCCTACCATAGCAAGGATTCCAAATTAACTTGCAGAAAATAAGAATTAAAGGGAAAGCGATAAGAAAAGGTGACATGACAGCACATTCATTTTTTCTTACTTTGGTAACTTTGTCTTCTCCAAATATGATGTAATTGTATCCATGAGCAAAGAAAAGGTGAATTCAGGCACTACACGAGCATGGAAAAAAAACTCTCATGTTAATTTATGGCAGTTTATTTTATATCCATATGGGAAAGTTCACTTGGCTTGAACTTTTTTTCCAGACCCCGATGAGGCTGCTATTGATTTAGTACTCTACTAGAATACAAACCCACAAAACCCATAACATGAGAAAACCTAATTATGATAATAAGAATCAAGCATGCATAATTCCATTAAAAACAGTTAGTCACCACTCTTCCTATATCACGACACTGCTTTTTTTACAACTCTTCTGTTCATTAGGAGCAAATTACCTTTTAGTGTTAAGCAGACTATAGATGCACTGTTTATGTTGAAAGTGGAAAAAACTAATGTTACATTTCATGTTAAAATGATAATTGCCTTTGGTGTTGCCTTACTGTATTATTTCAAATGGGTGTGTAAATGAAAACAAAGCTTTGCACATGCTGTGTCGCTGTCTAAGCTTCCATGGAAGAAGAGCAACTCACTTGCTGAGTTTACGGGTGGACATTAGTCCAGGCTTAAGTAAGTTACCAAAAGTTATCTTACTGGCTCTTACTTCCTATAAAGGGACAAGTGTTTCCAAACTATACTCAACTATGTGGACACACATTAATTTTTTAATTCATTCAGGGAACAAACAAGGCACCAAAGTGTAAAATGTTTTGTATGAAAATTCAAAGGGATCTTAGAGCTTCAGGAGTAGAATTGACAGCTGAAAGATTTATTCCAAACCACTAGCAACTGGAGCAATCTCCAAAGATAGATGCTTCCAGCAAGAAGTTTGCTGCCTCAAAAAATACCTTATTCTACTTCTGAATAATCCTAACTATTAGAAAGTGCTTTGTTGGTCTGACCAACACTGTCACTCTTATATGTTGGAACAAGTTCTTCTAAACATAGATTAGAGCAGATAGACACAGACGAATGATGGGAAAGCAATGAAAAAGTTAAACAAATTGAAGAAATGCCACAAGAGAGGTCTGAAATATTTATGTGCCATAAAAATATAAAAATAGACTATACTATTATGAAAGATATACAAATTAATATAATACATAAATTAATATACTAATAAGCACATAATAAATTAATTAAATTAACATCTTTATCAGGCTGACAAATGCTTTTGAAAAGTAATAAACATCACAAGGTTGGATGAGGAGTACGGAATAGAATGCCTTAATTCATATAATGCTAGCAGATAGTAAATTGTTACAAATTTTCTAAATAGTAAATTGTTACAAATTTTCTAATGTGCATTTCTGCAACAAGTGCCAACAGCTTCAAAAATATGTATACTTTTTGACCTCAAAGTTCCATTTCTATGAGTTTAGTCTAGGGAAAAAATAATGGACATGGATGTTGATTAAAGCAATATTTAAATATAAAATTAGAAATTGGCCTGGCGCAATGGCTCACACCTGTAATCCCAACTCTTTGGGAGGCCGAGGTGGGCAATCACCTGAGGTCAGGAGTTCAAGACGAGCCTGGCCAACATGGCGAAACCCCATCTCTACTAAAAATACAAAAATTAGCCGGATGTGGTGGCACGTGCCTGTAATCCCAGCTACTCAGGAGACTGAGGCAGGAGAATTGCTTGAACCCAGGAGGCAGAGGTTGCAGTGAGCCAAGATCGTGCCACTGCACTCAACCCTGGGAGACAGAGCAAGACTCCATCTTAAAAAAAATAGAAATCATATAAATATTAATATTTTCTGGGACCTTGTTTAATTCGAGGGAGTTAAAGGGTTTAAGAAAGGTTACCTTGTTTTATTTGAGGGAGTTCATGGGGTTCTCAGGGTCAATGTTGGTTCATACTGGGTGCCTGAAGCTCTCCTATTGGCTTCTCCAAAAATTGCTTGGCATTAGCCAAAGCAAGTTCAGAAATCCATGGAAGAAGAAGTAATTAATCTTGCATGACCATTCTGGACCACCCCTCTTTCAAATTGGAATCTTCATGAAATTCTCAGTATTCTAAAAGCAACATCCCTAAAGTAATGTTTTCTTCTTATGCACCAGACCTACCATCAGTTAAGCCTCTTCATGAACACCTCTAAAATTAGTGTCCAATAGAACATTCAACGAGGACATCTTGCATATCGTTGTTGCCTAAGTAGTTGAAATACCCTTTAACATTTTAATGTGAACTGCACTGAAATTTTAACAGGAGCATATTACTAAAAATAATGTTATTTTAAATTGTGTTAGAATCTCTAATTGCTTATACTATGCATTTTACTTTTTCTTTGTTTATAATTACTTTTTCCAAAAATGACTTAAGAAAAAGTTTGTGATACTGTGTGACTTCTTTTCAATCTGCTAAGCAAAAAGCAGGTGCTTATTGAATAGAAAGTGAGGCCAAGATGTGTGGGAACATAGAGTTGTGTACTGCTGAACTTAGGTTAACTTAATTGACAGTCCACAGATCCTCTTTATTTTGGTAGTTCATGATAAATGCTAGTAATCATAATGTTAAGTCATGCAATAATAAAATCTCTTACAGGAAGCACTTACTACTTAAATTTAAAATGCCATACTACTGAATTAAAAATAAGGGTTTCAAATGAGAAAAAATTGCCAGCTGAGTACAGTAGTCCCCCTTTATTCACAATTTCACTTTCCATGGTTTTAGTTACCTGCGGTACAGTAAGATATCTTGAGAGAAGGAAGGACTACATTCACATAACTTTCATTATACTATATTATTGTTTTATTTTATTATTGTTGTTAATCTCTTACTCTTCCTAATTTATAAATTACACTGTATCATAGGTATGTATGTATAGGGAAAAACATAATATAGAGAGATTTTGGTACTGTCTATGGTTTTAGGATCCACCGAGGGTCTGGGAACATATCCCCCTTGGAAAAAGGGATACTACTGTACAAACAGCACAATGTTCTTTTATCAAGTCACCTGTATGAATGAAAATGCCCACATACTACTTTAAAAGCAATGTAAATAAAATAGAGCTAAAAATCAATACAAGCAAAACTGAAGGGACTAGAAAATTGTGCTTCTGTAATAGTGACTAGATCTATAATAACCTAGGGGAGAAAAAAAATAGGCATTTCTTTATAGGAGGCATGGAAGAAATATGACATGAAAGCCAGAGGCTCTGCTGAGCCAGTGAAATTGTCCATTATTTAAACTGCAGGTGGTGACACTCACATAAACTGGTGTAGCAAGATGCAGCCAAAGCGAGTGATGTGAGTGGATTTAGTGTGAAATCCATTGTAGGATTCTGCACTTCAAAGGCGGGCAGACTGGTGCTTTGCCTTCGGAACACGTGGTACTGTAAATCCTAGTCTTGAACAAAGACATATTAAAGGCTAAGTATGTTGGATCTGCAATCTCAACCCTGTTTACAGGTTATTAATAACATAGCAGAAATGTTGCATTATTAAGAGTCTTAACTAGAAAGAGAAGAAAAAGATGGCAGGGGAAAGAAAAAGAAAAAGAAGACATGAAGGTGAGGAAAGCAGATGCCATGGAAGAAGGAAATGAAGAAGGAAAAAGGAAGAAGCAGGAAAAAGTAAAGGCTATAGGAGGAGGAAATATCTAGATGAGTAAAAGAGGTAAGAACCAGTGTTGCCAAAATATTGGAGCTACATTAAAAGAAATTTCTAAACAAGTCTTCCTGTTTTGAGACAAAACTGGAAATTGGTAATGTTGGTTTTCATCGTGCTACTGTAAGCCAGCACTTCTGAGGTTATAAATATTTTCTGTAAAGAGCCTGACAGTAAATGATTCCTGCTTTTGCAACTACTCAGCTCTGCTGTGTGGCATGAAAGCAGCCATAGGCAATGTGCAGGCAAACAGGTGTGGCTGTGTTCCAATAAAACCTTATTTACACAAACAGGCAGGGGGCCAGATTTGGACAACCATCCATAGTATTCCACTCTTACTATACCATATTTCTCTCTCTAACATTTCCCACTAACCATTGCCCCATTACCCAGTGCACCATTGTCATCACTATTCAGTGTCCCAGTAATTTCATACTTTTTATAATTATGCTCCCCATCTTCAAAACTTACCTCACAATTTCTTCTCACTTTAAAGTTAGGCTTTTTGTATCTTTCAGGTAGCAACTAGCTACCATAATAAAATGTCCCTGTGTAGAAGCTCATGAAAGGAAGAGAACTACAGTCCAGAAGTCACTGCATGTTTCTTCTGTCACTACCAGATACATCCTAAGTGAACTGTGCCCTACTCCTATCCAAGTACATCATTCTCCATTCAATACTTCAGAAACTGAATATATATTATGAACTTCAACCTATAAACAAAGAATTTTTAAAAAACAATTTTTGACCTCAGCTGACTCAGTGTTGTATGGGTAGAGATTACTTACATGCCCTCTGCCCTCCTATAATCCCTCCTCTACATCAAGTCATTACAAAGCCATTGGTAACCTCAATAGTGAAGAAATCAATCTGGAATTAGAAGGGTAGAACTAGGAAAGACTAATAGAAAAGATATTTGAGGGTGAAAATTTCATGAGCTAGCAGTATTTCTCCCTATAGTTGTTCTGTTTCTTGTGGACTGTTAGGCTACATTGGGTAATAGGTCCAAGAGAAGCTCTGCCCCACTAAGAAAGAAGAAAAAAGAAACCCAACTTATCAACCAAAATACTGTCTTTACCCTTTCTTGTTTGACTAAGTTTATGTCATTTTCCAAATAACTTCCAGATAGAAACAGTTCATGACTGCCAATCTTTTATATCTAACTATATTTAACATTTTATTAAAATAAATAAGATTTGGGCGGGCACAGTGGCTTATGCCTGTAGTCCCAACATTTTGGGAGACCAAGGTGGTTGGATCACTTGAGCTCAAGAGTTCGAGAACAACCTTTTTTGCAACATTGCAAAACCCTATTAGTCAGGTATAGTGGTTCACGCTTGTAGTCCCAGCTACTCAGGAGGCTGAGATGGGAAAATCGCTTGAGCCCGGGAGGTCAAAAATGCAGTGAGCTGTGATCATCCCACTGCACTCCAGCCTCCAAAAAAAAAAAAAAATCAGATTAAAGAGTGCTTATGGCTATGGTATGTTAGATTAATCTTCCCACTAGGACCAACTAGAAAAGATAGATAAAATATAAGAACATCTGTTTGAAGGCAGCAAATGGCTACTATGAAAGCAAGGGCAGCCTAGGAGGTATGCACTATAATCTCCCTTCAAGAGAGAACCTTCAAATGCCACACTTTGGGGAATCTAATGAAGTACTAGGTGCTGAGGCCATATACTCTCCCAGGCTGCTCCAGCCCAGTGTGGAAGCCTTCTAATAAGCACTCTTTTCCCTGCAGCTCCCTAACAGCCTAGCTGAGCCTATCTCAGAACTGCACTGGTCTGAGACTCTTTTCACCGAATCCTCCTCATTTGTTCCTCCTCTCCTCTAATAGGCATCAGATCTGTATCACAGTCTCTGTCTGCCTACTCCTGCTCTCTATCCCTATATATTTCACAAGGATTTCCCCCAATGAACCTGTTGTAGTTCAAATTCTGTCTTGGAGTCAGCTTCCCAGAAGACTGAAAGTGACACAGCTGTTACTGAGAGTAATCAAAGAAAAGACTGTGGTGGGGTCGGGGGAGGGGGGAGGGGGGAGGGATAGCATTGGGAGATATACCTAATGCTAGATGACACGTTAGTGGGTGCAGCGCACCAGCATGGCACATGTATACATATGTAACTAACCTGCACAATGTGCACATGTACCCTAAAACTTAGAGTATAATAAAAAAAAAAAAAATTAAAAAAAAAAAAAAAAAGAAAATACAGTAAAATCTCAATATAAAATAAGATTCTGGGATTGAATTATTCGCCAACTGGCTGGTGGAAGACCCCATCCTAAGTGGCATGTAAATCCTTGGCACAAGATGGTAATCCAATTGCTGAAGAATTCACCCATAGTAACATGGAAAAAGGTCCTACGGGTGAAAAACACCCTTTCCAGTGTGATGATTTTAGCATTTGAGAAATATGGGGAAATAAGACATATGAGGACAGTTAAGATGTCTTCTTATTAATCAGTTGCATTGATACCCAGAAGAGAGATAATAAGAGACTTATAGTGTTTAACAGTTAACAAACAGGGCTAATTTTGAGGCTAGAGAGGGCCATTTTGATAGTTGACAGAGAGCTGTTATCTCTTAAAATGACAGAGCAGAAACAGCTGAGAAGCAAACTCAGAATCTGATATTAAAGGTAGAGGTACTTCAGAGATGTAGAAATGTTTAAGTGCTCAAGCAAGGGAAGCCTGCTTTGCTAATGTCAGGATACTGTTGGGAAAATCTAGGGACCTGACATGTGGTATGAAGACACCTAGGTGGTTGCTCCCAAGGATTTTGGCTCTGTAGACTTCCATAAATCCTTAGAGACTATAGAGCTAGCCAGACCCTCACTTTTTAAGAGATATCACTTCTCCTTATGCAGAAAAACACTGCAGAGACCTCTCCCCTATAAGGCAAGGGGAGGCTCTTCAGGATCTGTCAACACCTCTGCTGGGCATCAGGCCAATAACTAGAGTTAAATCTCTGTGTAACCTGGTACAGAACAATGCTGGGCCTAATAGGAGAAAACAGAGACCAAACCCTGAGGTCAGAAGGAATAATTAGCTATCATGTACTGATACGAGCCAGGAGAATATCTTTTGATTGGATATTAAGGGTACTTGATCAAGCAGGCTAGAACTTAAGATGAGATATGAAGAATTCATTAAATTGTAGGCACTTTCTTGGAATACAGGATTTAGCACCCTGGCAAAGACCCCAGAGGTTGAGGCAAATTCTCTGCTAGAGTGGCTCTTAGAAATCTGGGGAAAAAAGATAGCACATACTGAGCTAAGTTGAAATGCTGGAGTTACTGTAGCAGACATAGAAGGAAGTAAAGAAGCTGAGTAAAGTGAGCCTGGTGGAATGAATATATTATATGAGCCCAGAAGACCCACAAGAGAATTATGTTCTGCAGAAGAGCCCAAGTGACAAACAATTCACCAAGACCATAAAGAATGTGCTAGCAGATGGGCATCAGCAACACTAAGAAAGTCCTCAGTGGCTTTTCTCAGCAGGCCAGGGATGACAGTAGTTACAGAGCATGGTTTATTAATATCAATGAGAATGAAGAGACCTAAAACCAAAATGCAAGGTGGTAGCGCCTAATTGTGAGAATCTGAAGGTTGCAAGTACTATAACAACTGGTAAAGTGAGAAGGACAGATCTCGATAGTGAAGATAGCAAGATGGTAAACCAAAAACAAAATTTCATACCATGGATAACAATTGTAAAGATCTAAAGGATGCAGGGGTCATGGTCCCTATTAAATCCCTGCTTAATTCACTCACCTAGCTCTTGCAAAAACTAGATAGATACTGCAGAATGCCTAAGGAATACTGAAAATTTATTTAGTAGAACAACATAGTATAACACCTAGCATTATACAGTATACAATATAGAAATCTGGACATCTCAGATATTTACATTGATCCATTATATTAATAACATTATGCTGATCAGGCAAAAGGAGCAAAATATAGCTAGTCCATTGGAGGTGCTGGCAAGACACACATGCTCCAGAGTTTGGGAGATAAACTCTATGAAGACTCAGGGATCTACCACTGCAGTAGAGCTTTTAGGAATCCAGTGATCAGGGGCATGCAGTGACATTCTGTCTGTGGTAAGATGAATAACAGAGATCTCAAATTCTTGAATAAAACATTCACAGACAAATCCAGGGAGTACTTCTTGAAAAAATATGTAAGAAATAAAATAAAAAACACATTGGCTATACTTATGGAATGCAAGTTTGGTTTAATATTCTAAAATCATTGTAAATTATCACATGGACATGATAAAAGAGAAAAATCATAAAATCACCTAACGAATGCTGAAAAACATTTTTAAAAGTCAACATCTACATATGATAACAGTTCTTAGAAAATTAAAAATGGAATGAAGCTTTCTTCCTTTGATAGAAGATATGGTATAATTCCTCTGAGATTAGGAATGAGACAAAGATCATTTATTTTACATATTACATCTATTTCAACATTGTAAAAGAAAATCATAGCTGGTAACTTATGTCAATAAAAATATAATAAAAGATATAAAAGTTGGAAAGAAAAAAATAAAACTGCTGTCATCTGCAAATGGCATCACTCTATATGTACATATTTCAAAAGCATTTCAGATAAACTATTAGAATTAAAAAGTAAATTTTACATGGTCACTTTTATATTCACTGGTAGAAGATAAATATAAAAATGTTTTAAATTATATAAAAATATAAAAGAAAAAAATAAAGTTAAAAACTCCAAAGTAGCAATTTGAAAATAAAATGTCAAAACTCAAACTACTCTCAATACGAACCAAAACATTAACTATCAAGGAGTAAATCTAACAAAAATATGCATAAGCTTGAGATTAAAATTTACCAAAAAAGTATTGAAAGAAATTAAAGACCTCAATCCGTGAAGAGATATAGCAAATTCAGTATTGCTCAAATTGATCTATATATACAAGGCAATTCTAATTAAAATCTCAGCAGGTTTTTTTTTGCAAATTCACAAGATAATTTTAAAATTTATGTGAAAATACAAATGATTAAATGTGGTCAAGGCAATCTTTAGAAAGAACTAAGTTTTAGACCTACTATCTAATACACCTATCATAGAAGTATAATAAGATAGTGAGATAAATGGAGAGACCAAAGCAGGAGAATTTAAAAATCCAGAAATAGACCCATGCATATACAAATCACCTGATTTATAACACAGGTAACACCACAGTAAACTAGAGAAATAATGGTCTTTACAATGGTAAAGCAAATAGTACTGGGTCAATTAGATATCCATATTGAAATAAATTAATCTTGACTCTACTCTTTTCACAATTTTTTAAAAGAAAACATAAGGGGATATTTTAATGGTTTTGGGTAAGCAAAGATTTCTTAAACAGGATACAGAAACTACTAATGACCAAATCAAGGAAATAATTGCTATGTTAAGCAGCTTTAAAACTAAGAAGTTAAAGATAATCCACAGAATGAAAGAGTGTACTTACAATGGATCTATCCAACAAAGGAGTTGTAGTCAGAAATCCTGAAACCCAACAAGAAAAAGACAATGCAATAGAGAAACTGGGCAAGAGACTTACATAGGCACATCAGAAAAGAGGAGCTACAAAGGGCCACAAAAAAACATATAACTGCTCAACATCATTAGTCATCAGTAAAATAAACAGATGTCATCAGTAAAATAATAATTATATAATTATATAAATAGATAATAATATACCACTACATATCCACCACAATAGCTGAAATTAAAAAGATTGACCATACTAGGTGTGGGCAGTGGGCAAGGATGTGAAGCAATTAGAACAGCTTGTAGAGTGTAACCTGGTCCAAACACTGGAAAACTATTTGTCAATATTATTAGAGTTGATTATACATATACCTTATGTCCAATAATTCTACTCTTGATATAATTCCTAAAATAAATGCATCAACATGTGCTCCAAAAGAACTGTAATAGCAAAAATTAAAACAACTCAAATATCAACAATAGAATGCAAATATCAATTCTGATAAATCCATATGACAGAATACTATAGAGCAAAATAACAAAAATATAAAAGACTACTGCTAAAAATAACAACATGGATGGATCTCAAAAATATACTACTGAGTTTTTTTAAAGCCAGAAACAAAAACACAATACATTGTGTTTTTATATATAAATTTTATATTTACATAAATATGGAGGAATAGACAAAACTTATTTATAGAGTTCAAAATCATGATGATGGTTACCACTGTGAAAGTAGGGATTCTATAAGGAAGGAATAAGATGGGTGCTTTTGGAAGGGTAATGTTCGTTTTTTTTATCTGAGTGGATATTACATATTTGCAGCATAAAATTCATCATGCTACAAACTTGCAAGTTGTGCAATTTTCTGTATGGATGCTATGAGCGAATAGTAAGATAATTTTTATAACAAAAAAATAAAATTCAAAGTATACTCAGGTAAACAAGAAATATCTTATAGTTGTCTTTTAAAGGTATCATCCAGTCTATAGCTGAGATCTTGATTTAAAGAGTTTGCCCAGATTCACATTTACGTGCCCCAAAAATGATGACACTTTCACGGTAGTGTAGCCACACTCCACAGGAGGCTAAGTGTGTTTGTTTCTTTGTTTGTTTGTTTGTTTTTGAGACAGGGTCTCACTCTGTCACCCAGGCTGGAGGCCAGTAGTGGGATCTTGGTTCACCGCAACTTGCGCCTCCTGGGTTCAAGTGATTCTCCAACCTCAGGATCCCAAGTAGTAAGTGGTATTTTAATCAAACGACTCTCTTTGGAATGTAACCAACAGCTTGTAGAAACATAGTGGAATACTTCCTACTATGTGAACCCTTGGAATGTCTTACCAAGCAAAATGGCTGCAGTTTTCTATTAGTGGAGAAGTTTTTCCTGAATGGAAATGCATAATTTGGATTTAATAAGACTTTCCAATATAAGCTGTACATACAAATGCGTATTTTCTCCTTTCTTTGTGTTAACAGCATGAGATAAGCTGTAGACCAATTTTATGTAGCATTTTATATGCAAATAAGAAGTTATTTTTGCATGTTTTCATTTTTATAGGAGACAGGCAAGAGAATTTCAAATAATGCAGTTTTCCATTCTAGTCAGATAATTGACTTTTCTATTTAGTTAATTCTGCTTTCTATGTGCATGTTTATCTCAACAGCTGATGAAAAATATTCAAACATTAAAAGTTTGAGATGTCAATACAATTTTATAAATAATTTTATTATTTCAAAGTGAACTGTGCTCATTTTGGCTTTTTTGAGTATGAGTTGAAATGGCCATTTGAAACTATTTCTCCATTCAGCAGCAAGAAGCATCTTCTAAATGGATAAATTCCCAGATTCACAGGCTCTCCACATGGACAGATATGAAAATGCTCCTATGATAATGGTAAGTCAATTCCATGATGGAATCCACATCTGTCTTCATAGGATGGGGGTGAAATATTCACTTATCAGCTGGCATTAATGGCCACTAAAGGAGTTAAGAGGGTTCCGACATGAACAGACTTCAGATCCCAGAACTAGAGCTTTGTTTTTGGCAAGATGGACAGATTTGGAAGGACCCATAGTTCTGACAGAGCTAATACAGGGAGCATGCTGTTGATCCCACAATACTCCAGCAGAGACAAAATCTGCCTTGGCCACTGGCACATTGAAGAGCCAGCAACCATTAGGCAGACGCTCAAGTAAGCAGGTGGTTTTTGTCAGTGGAGGGCCTACAAGTGGACAAACCAGAGCATGGGGAGGAGGAAAAGGCAATAGGTACACAATAGGTAAAGGTTTGGCCAGGCAGTCTATATGGGTGTAGTATGGCAGCAGGATACAGAAACAAGTTCAGCAGGACATCTGTCCTGAGAAGGTTGAGCAGAAGGCAATACCCAAAATCAAGAAGAAACAAAGCTCAGCACAAGGCTTGTTCACCAAGATTGAGCAAAATCTACTTATTAGTACTTCAGTAAAAGGCCAGAGCAGAACCACCAGCAATTTGTATTATATGCTACTCATTCAATGCTCTTCAAAACCCCTTGAAGAGTACCAGGTCTAAGGGAGGGGAGGTGGCAGGAGGATTGTTGGAAGACTCCACCTGTGAATTCTGGGAGTGTTATAACCAGAAGCAATATAAGATGTGTAAAGGGAGGGAGTATGAAGGATTGAAAAAGAACAGTCCTGATTAGGCTCAGTTTTTTCACTTCGAAAGTAGAAACTAATATAAGCTGCTAGGGTTGTTGAAAAGGCTGAACATAAAGTGGATAGCACATAGAACTCCAAGGATGTGAATGAACTAGCCTCTTCAGCTACTTACAAAATGGTACAATGACCAAGCATATTCTCTAAACTAGGGAGCTTTCAACAGGTTATGAATACTGGCAATAATAATTGCTAACATTCACTGTAGACTTATGGATCAATCACTGTCTTAAGTTCATTACATATATTATCCCATTGGATCTTCTCATCCTACAAGATTGAGATTAATTTCATTTTACAGATAAGGAAACCAAAGAACAGAGAAGTTAAGTGACTTGCCCAAGATTACACATTAGTTAGTGGCAGTGCCAGAATTTGAACATAGATTCCAGAGCCCACACTGATAGTCTAGTTACACATAATATCATACTTCCTCTATGCGATAAAAAAAAAATTAGAGAAAGACATGGAAGAGCAAGAATTGATTCATTCAATACCTACTTAGAACCTCAGTGGTAGACCACAATGAGACAGATACAGAACCTAGTAAAAGTGTAGCAGCACACTTTTTTATGTAATTGTCTTTGGTAGTCATTCCTCTGACTATGCTCCTGGCATAAAGCTCTATCAGCATAGCCATGGCAGGAGCAGGGAGTTTATGGCCAGAAGCTTTATTGCCCAGTGTGAGTAATGGTGGTTCATGGCCAGCATCATTTCTGGGTTGAAGTACTCCGTGGTGCACAGATACAAGCAGCAGCTGCATCATTTTCCCCTTGATCTAGAAATTGCTAGGTGGCAGAATTCCACATACTAGATTGTCATATAACCTATCCACACAAACTTTAAATATCAACTTACGTCCCCAGAAATCTGAAAGATTTAATGTTGTTTCCAAAGGTATTTACAGTACATCAAAGACTTTTGATGACAGTTCATCCAAAATAAAAAAAAAAATAGGAGAAAAAAAGCAGCAGCCTGACACCTATGATATATCTGCCATGTCTTTAATACATTGTTATGCAATTATTTATTGTTTTACATAAGTAATTCATGCTTGTTTTAGATGTAACATTTTAAAGTTACCTAAAATACAACCAACCAGAGATGATCATTACAAATACTTTGTTGTTTAGCCTTCCAAAATGTTGTCCTAGTCATTAAATTTTAGTAAAAATAGAAATATATTTATCATATTGTACAGTCTACTGTGTAACTGCCTTTCTCATTTATCAATATTAATATCTTTTCATGTCCCATATAGAATTATATTTTTTCATGACTACATGTTTTTATTTTATTTAATGAATGTCAATTATTTATCAGTCCCCTACTATTGGGAATCTAGGTTATTTTCCTTATTTATTTACAGGCATGTCATACATCAGCATATTAACCTGTATTTTTTACACTGAAATATTTCTATGCAGTTTTTAGTTGGCCTTTTAACATTGTGGCTTTGCATTCAGAAGTTTGTTTTTAATTTTCATACCGTAGAATTGCATGAACATTTCAAATGTGAATTCTGCCTTTGGGGCCATGCTGAGGAAGCTTTTCAAAAATACCCTTCACCCCAGAATTATAGAAATATTTGTGGGCATTTTCCTCCAAAATTTTTATGGCTTCATTTTTTTTCACTTAACATCTTTGTGAAAGAGGAGACTAATATGATCTTGGCAAATCACATATCAAAAACTGCCAGATAGCTTGTTTTCTAAAAGAATACTCAGATGAGTGTGCTTTGCAGAAGAAAACGGCCTTTGTACACTAAAAAATTTCAAAGTAGACCACAATGGAGTTTCCTGTGTAAGATGAAGCGTTTGGATTACATTTCTCTAGAGGTTGATGAAGCTGTACTACGTATAGATGTGGAAATATTATCTCTGATGTTGAAGTCCAGGCTGGACTACCTGAGACCAGCAGAGCACATTCATTCCCTGTTCCAGTTCTAAGGACTGGCTTCAAGTTATCCATTCTCTTTCCTGTGCCCAGGGTGTCTCAGACAACACTGCATCTTCCCATTAGCTTATTCTAATTCTGAATTGACCATCTCCATAGTTTCATGTGTTTCTTCAGAGGATGTAAAGGATATTTTTACATCGGAGAGTATACTGGTCAATAAGAGAAAATAAATGTCATGGCTGCTACTCTTAATAATAGTACTACATTTTCCAAACCATGTAATCTGACTACAGAGATCTTTTAAAGTAGCAGCTAAGAAATCTGACATGTAAGGTGCAAATTGCAAAGCCTTGACATGATTCTACATGCCTTTTCTTTAGCTGATTTCGTTTCTAAAGCTATTTTTGAGGGCCTACAATACCTCCATGATGAAACATTAATAACTTTAAAATCTATGCATTATTCCATGCCCACATTTAAGATATCAGTGATATCACCAACTTCCCAGTTTAAGCTGTTTTTCCCCTTAGAAGAATCTGTTAATTACAGTAGTTAACAACTACTCAGTTAGCAAAGAGGCCTAAGACAAGGCAAGGGACAAGTTAATGGTGTAACAAATCAGTTGTTAAGCTAAATGGTCAGTTTGCACAGCACAGTATTATTGCTTTATTGAACCCAACTCAAAGATTTACAGCAGTTACATCTTATTCCAGGTACAAGATGCACAAATGAAATACAGAGGGATGCAGTTTTGTTTTATACTGCTTTCATTAAGAACCCAATTGCACGGCAAAATCAGTTAGTATATATCTCGTTCCATGTGACAGCCAATTTTCCACGGAGATTGGAAACTCTTGGAGCCTTCTAATCCTTGATCTCACTTCGGGAATACAAGAGCTGGGAGTTATAGCATGTTTTTAAATTGTTTAAAGTAAAGCTTTGCTGTTAACAAGCACTCATCCCTGGCTCCTGGACAATGGAACTTCTGTGGATGGATGGTGCATTGCCTTGACTCCAGATCTGCTTTGATGATGAAATACATCTGAGACATACTTATTGGTCCAACATAGTAAGTTATTTTTTCCCAAGGAATTTCTTTTCAGAAAACAACATGTAGTGCTATAAATATATTTGTCACCAAAATAACCTGTGACATTATTTATTTGACCACCTAAGTAGCAAAGTTGATTTCATCATGATTCATTTAATCTTTTTTTTTTTTTTTTTTGGTCATATTTGTACCACACGTCAAGCACTTTCTAACTTTCATCTAGGGATGCAGTAGGTAACAGTCCTCATGGGGTTTACATTCTTGTGGAAAAGATAGATTTTAAAAACAAATAAATGCATGATATGGGATAATTTTGCAGGTAATAAGTGCTATAAAGAAATAAAATATATTGAAGAGAATGGTTAGGTGGAAATCGATTGCTAATGTAAGTAGCAGAAACTTTATTATTTGGAGGACTGTAGAAAATTTATCAATCAAGGGCCCCATAAGTAGAAAGAAAGATAAATAAGTATTTCACTGAAAACATGTACCTCTTTCACGTACTTTCAAATCCTGTCCACTGCTTTTGAGTTTCTCTTAGAAAACCTTTCAGTTCAGAACAGAAGAATATAGCAACGATTGAAGTTTAGAGTTTAGGGATAGTGTGTGCTCAAGATACCTGTTCAGTACCCAGCACTGTGTACAAAATATTTTTTATGGTGGTAACAACGATGAGAAAGGTCAGAATAGCTAGGGCTTGGAAATAATTGCTTGGTTCAGATCTATAAAAGCTATTAAATCAATCCTACAGAGGATAACACATTTTGTTATGCTATAAGAGGATAAATGTAGAAGTTTGCCAGCTTACAGACTAATTCTGGACCTCAACTTAGTATCACTTAATATACTTATGTTCTACAATTGCAAAACCATAAACTGACTTTCAATTTCTTTAGTAGGACTAAAATACCACAAGATAAACTGTTAGATGTTGTGTGCAAGTATATGTGTGACTGTGTGTAAGTGTTTGTGTGTGTGTAATGTATTCTGACAATCCTACATTTCCAGACTGGTTACTTATAAGACAACAACAAAGAAGAAAATATGTTCAGAAAGTCTGTGTTAAAAAATACACATACTATTTGAAACATTTTAAAAATGAGTTCTTTCAGTATTGAACTATTTCATTTTCACATCATGGTTGGCAAGGTAAACGCTTGCTTTGACAACATGAAGACTATTTATATAAGACTTGTGAGATCATGTGTAGCTCAGATCATATGGTATATTTGCATAAATGTAAATGACAGCCTTTAAGAATCCTTTTGTCTCTTGCTCCAGTGGTACTTTTCCCAAATGCAGGCTGATAATGTTTCTACACTAATTAATCTATTTATAAAATCAGGCACAACAAAACAAAACCCATTGTCCTTGCCCTCATGGAACTCACTGAAACTTAAATGAGAACTTCCAGCCATAATCTTCCTGGCCTTGGCAGAGCAAAGGAGGTGTACCTGTGAGGGTACCAACAGGACACAAGTGCCGTGATCTAAAAGGTAACTCAACAGAGTGTGATGAATGGGACATCTCACAAAGGTGGGAGCAGATTAAGGGAGACCAATTGAGGGGCCAAGAAGCAATCTGGATTTCACAGCAGTGGAACAATTTACACTAGGCTTGCTAAAAAAAAATCTGACCACAAACTCGGTGGCTTAAAACAACAGAAAGTTTTTCTCTTATTTTCTGAATACCAGAAGTCTAAAGTGATGCTTACAAAGCTAAAATCAAGTTGTTGGCAGGGCTGCTTTCCCTACAAAGGCTCTAGAGATAATCCATTTCCTTGGCTTTTCCAGCATCTAGAACTGGAATTCCTAGGCTCAGGTCTCTCCCTCTATCTTCAAAGCTAGCAGTGTACAACTTCTCTCTCTGACCCTGCTCCTTTCACATGGCTTTTTTCTCTTCCTTGTGTAGTCAAATGCCCCACTATCTCTCTCTTTTACAGATAAGATTCTTGTAATCACATTCAGGACTCAGCTAAATAATCCAAAGTAAACTGTCCATCTCAGGACCCTTAACTTAATCACATCTGCAAAGACCTTTTTTCCATATAAGATAATATTGATGGGTTTCAGGAATTAGGATATAGACATCATTGGGGGCCATTATTCAGCCTATGACAAGGAGGGAGCTAGAACTCTTGCTGGAGCCTGGGAGACCTGTAGCAGCAGCTGCTGTACAGGAGATGTGGTCTGTAGTAGTGGAATGCAGCTACCATCAAGAGATGCCCAAACAAAAAGAGAGTCTGGGAAAGAAGTACCCAAACCTCACTCCAATTTCTGTCAATGCCTCCCATTGCCCAAACCCAAAGTGGGCAAGGATGACCAGACAATGACGTTCATAAATGTCAGCCTGCAAGAGCACAGAGGAGGACAGAGAAGGCTAAAGAGTGAATCTCAAGAATCAATGGAGAATATCCAGCAAAGATGTGTACCAGGGGAAGCTGACAATAGTTCTGAGGCTATTTGCAGGAATGAGAACTCCAGCAAGAGGCCAGGGAGATGTAGACCAGATTACAATCTCTATAAAGTCCCAACCAAACAGCCTGAATTCAGGGAAGTGAGGTTCCCATTCAGATCCCATTATAAGGACCCATCCTGGAGACTAAGAAATTATTTCAGAGGTAAGGAAATAATTCACTGCATACCCAAGGGAACTCAACAAGGATTAAATTTTGTAGGGCTCATCCCAAGGTTTTGGAAACTTAGGTTTTACAACTATGCAATGTGCTTAGGACTTGATATGTTTTGGATTTTAATTTTTTTTTTTTTTTGGATTTGGGAAAGTTTGCCAATACTTATCAATTGGGCACCCCAATCCAAAATCTGAAATCCTCCAATGAGCATTTCCTGTGAGTGTCACATTGCTGCTCAAAGCATTTTGAATTTTGGACCATTTGGGATTTTGGATTTTTGGATTATACTCAACCTGTAGTTGTTTTCAGTTCACAAAGGAAAGAATGTTTTTGTGTTAATTTGGTGGGAAGGACTCAGTCCCTGTCTCCTTGGTTTGTATTAATATTGTCATAAAAGGCAAAATAGCACTGACAGTTTTTTCTTTTCTGTGGAGATATGTAAGCTGAAATTGAGGAGAATGGACCTAAGGAAAGCAAAGCTTGATTCCACTGACTTTAAGCCAAGGAATCAACTTGCCTACATCAAGAGCTGAATTAGTGTCATCTCCTCTGTGGAGAATTCAATCTGTGCTCCCAAAAGCTGTAAAACTCAAGATTATTGACTTTGGTGGTTTGTTTTTCACTGACCGCAATATAAAGACCTGGACTAAGAGTATCAATCCCTTGAGCAAAGCCCAAGGAATAAAAATGCTATGATAAAATGCACATAATATATTATTAATATTTAGCAGAATATCACAAAAATTTATTACAGATAATAGGAATTTCAGAGACTGCCTTACCTCAACTCTGAGTGGAGAATTACAATTTAAAATTCTACCAGAACAAAATGGATATAACATTTGCCCATTATGTAATAAAGAATGTGCTCTTTATTCAGTAGAGTTTCAAATGATCTTTATCTTGATTTTTATGTTTTCCAAGTTGATTCATAGTTTAAATTCTTACACAGAGAATCATAACCACAGTGGGGCCCTTCTGACCAGAGCCTAGATAAAAAGAAACATCACTGTTATAGGACCAATAGATTCATATGCCTGCTGTGCAGTAACAGATCAATTACACTGAGACAGCAGGAACGCAGCAGAGAAAGAGTTTAATGATTGCGGGGTGCCAAGCAAGAAGATGTGAAAAGACCTTCAAATCCATCTTCCTGAGAAGTTCTGGGCTGGGGTTTTTTTAAGGATCATGGAGAGCGAGGAGCTGGAGAATTGAGGTTGTTGATTGGTTGGGGTAAGGGGGATGAAATCATCAGGACGTGGAAACTGCATTCTTTGATGAGTCAGCTTCTTGTGGAGTTCCTCAGACAGCTGGCATCAATGGAATCCCTCAGACCAGCTGACGTCAGTCGTTTCACTGGTATGCAGGATATAAAATAATATCTCAAAGGAAAAATTCACCATTTCATAATGTTCAAATTGTTATCTATAGAGCAGTCAAAGGAAACTATAATCTTGTAACATGGTCTACATTATTCTACAACAATAGGCACCACACAACTATGAGGAAGAAAGTCAGAGAGCACACTGATTTCATGATTAATGTCAATCATGCTGCAAGCTTGGTTTATTTTCATTTCTCCCCCTCACTTCTTCTCTGATTAATTTTATAAAGTGTATAGGGGCAGTTTCACCACTGCCACTGCCAGAGCCCCAGGAGAACGCAAGGCATTGAACTGGGCATTCAACTGTCCACACAAAGCTCCTCCTCTCTTTCTCCAGGTATTTCTTATATTGCCTGCCACCCTCTTGTTCAGATGAGAGGACCTAGAACCTGATTACCAATGGCTCAAGATCTTAGAGCAGATGAAGAACCACTAAAGATTTGAAATAAAAAATGAGGAAGCTGAGGTGGAAAATATGACACTACAGACTTCTGGTGAGCCTGAAGCCTCACCAAGTGCAGATAGAACTACCCTATTTATAAAAGGAGATGAATCAAGCAGCAATGCGAGGTTTCTAATAGACTTTACAAACAAGAGTACAGAAGATTTTGTTAAATCCCTAGATGTCTCACTCCATCACCCTCAGAATTTCCAGTTTTATATCCAGAGTAACATAGCCCTTGTTCTAAAAACTGTAGTGCCAACCCAGAGCCAGGCAACCCTGGAGCCCTTTTTATTTCTCCCTGAGACCCACGGGTGAATGACCCTTTAAGCATGAATCTGAATTCAAAGATTTCAATGGCAATGTATTCAATATGCTATCTTTGATCAGATATTTACAACTGATGAGAGAAAAAAATGATCTTTATGTACATATTTCTTGCTAGTCTTGGGATACTGGCTGTCACTGGATTTCATCTGATCTTAGAATCTAGAAAACAAAAGAGACCCATACAGAAAATAGAAATGGATGCATCAAACCAGAATGATACTAACATGAGTTGATTCCTCACAAAACTTTGAATCAGATTGATAACATTTTACTCATAAGTTTTTCCAGAAAAGAGGCACAGAAGAGATCAATGGCATCTGGTAGGCAAATGCTTCTTTGGACAATTCGACCTTGATTTAACTGCCCCCCAAATTTTTGTTTTTAGAGAAATTAGCACAGAGCGGCCATATCACCATAAAAGACTGCAATTGATGTGTGTTCTGAGAAACCAGAGTCAATGGAAACAATATTGCTAAAAATGCGTCCCATTCATGTCTCTATAGTCACAAATTTACCTTTCTAAAACTATTATAATTGACATGTGTGTATGTGTAATGTACATAAGCAGTTGGTCTCATCAAAATCATTGTTGTTCCAATGATTCTGATACAACTTGAAGTATGTCTTAGGGATACTAAATACAGTGCCTGGTGTCTCGTCCTTACTGACAATTTCTGGTATTGTCTCTCCCAAAATACACTATATATTTGCCCAACATGATGGTAGATTTCATGCCTAGAACTGCATGAAAGATAACAATTTACCTCTTCCTATGAATAGCTTCAAATCCATGTAAAGGGCACAGATTAGCCTTTTGTGTAGAGTGGTAGTTGTTGTTTTACAACTAGTATTCCAAAGGCACAAGCATGGATGGCTGATTTTTAGCAACAGAAATTGTTATTGTCTTTTTCTTTTGCTCTTTATTCCCATTGAAAGATCTTCCCAAGGGTTCAAGAAATTTTGGGACCTTTCTAGCAAAAAAATTCTGAAGAATAAACATTTCTTTTGACTTTACTACATAAATCTGGTATTTATTTTGTGAAAAAAAAAAAAGAAAAGAATGCCAAAAGAAACACACTGGAGACCAATTTGGGGTTAAGTGGAAAACATTGACTTAAGTAAGAATAATTTATAAAATGTTCACAATTAAATAAACACCAATTAATAGACATATTTAAGTTTCAGAAAATATATGTTAGGTTTCATAAAATTTTAAATACATAAATTATATATTATAGCACTTATTATATAAAAAATAATCAGGTGATTTCCCTTTGGGAAAAAAATGCCTCAGGGACACACACCTAAATCAAAAGCTATCCTTTCCCTTACCCACCTCCCACAAGTAGGACACCGGAGCCCTGACAGACAGCAAGTGCCTCCACAAGAAGTCATCTTGAAGACTTTTGGCCCTGGCAATCTGAGTTCATGTACTTAACTCCATTCCTGCCACATATTCCCACTCAAACAGCTAAAAATAATACAGAAATAAGCAATCATCACTGGAAGTTAAGCAAGAGTGCCATCCACATGCCAGCAGCTTTAAGGAATTTTCATAAAGAATAACACAAATTAAACTATACTGCAGCAAAGAACTACCAAACAACAACCACTAAAGATGATGAAAAAGCCCTGTGCAGGGAGTAAAGGAAAAAATCTCCCAACATGACTTAATTAGCCTCCTTCACCACCCCCACAGATCAAAACAGAAACGGAAAAGTGTTATCAGCTTATAGAAGGCAGTTCTAATTGTCACAGTAAAGCCTCAGGAAGTGGCCAGTTTCCAGAATCCACACAGATTTAGCTGAAGCGTCCCTGACTTTCACCTGGCATCAGCAAAATGGTAAATGGAGAAAGCAGGGAATGTTAACTGTTCCTAACATGGGTGCATTTAGAAGTGGTAGAAGTAAGGACTCTCAGCCAGTGAGAATCACAGAGGAGTTTTGCCATTGTGTTTCTGCCATCACAGACAATCTAATTGTTCTGCCTAAATACAAAGTGATTTCATATTTATCCTTAAAGTTCCAAAATGTCAATAGGTCTTATCTAACTGAAGGTCAGCTTTCATCATTTTGCTTTATACTTAAATCTTCAACATTGTAGATTGTTTTCAAATTTCTTTGACAATTTTTACTTCATTTTCCGTTTTCTCATATTGTAACAGCCTAACACGTTCACCTTGCCCACAGCCCAAAAAAGCCACTGCACTGAGAATGGCAGGTACCGTAGCAGGGAAAGAGTTCAATGATCACAGGGCCAGCCAAGTGTGAGGACAGGAGATAATTCTCAAATCCACCTCCCCAACAGCTTGGAGGCTAGGGTTTTCAAAAATAATTTGGTGGATTGGGGGCTAGGGAATGGGTGCTGCTGATTGGTTGGGGATGAAATCATAGGAGTGTTGGAATTCTCTCTGTGCTGAGTCCGTTTCTGGGTGGAGGTCATAGAATCGACTAATTGAGTTACAGATCTGAATGGGTCCAGGTAGCATCAGTCAGTTCTCCAGAATGCAGAAGTCTGACAAATATCTCAAAAACCAATCTTAGGTTTTACAATAATGATTTTTTCCATGGAAGCAACTGGGGAAGCTGCAAATTTTGTGGCCTGTGGCTACTTGACTCCTGAGCAATAAGCAAGCTAGGGAACAATGGCAGAATATCACTTAACTATGCATAGTTCTTAGCAGAATTGAGGCACCTCCCATAATTCTAACCTTGTGGCCTTTCATTAATTTTACAGAGATAGTTTGTGTCCCCAAACAAGGAGAAGGCTTTTTTTCAGGAAGGCACTATTATCATCCTTGCTTTAAAGTTAAACTATAAACTAAATTCCTCCCATAGTTAGCTTGGCTGATGCCCAGGACAGTTAGCTTGTGTGTTTAGAAGCAAGATAAAATCAGCTTGTGTTAGATTTCTCCCTCTGTGGTAATATTGCAAAGGCAGTTTCAACATTATATGCTTATTGGATCTCTTGTTATATACATATTAGATGTCTCTGTCTCTATGTCCATGTCTCTTTTCCTGAAATTCCATATACTATTCCTGTAGAATATGTAGAAAATTTTGAGTTTGGCTTAAAGCAATTTAGTTTTAATGGAATGCAATCTACAGTTCACTCTTGCCTTTTTAAATAGACAAACACACTAAGAAATCTTTCCTGTTCTTACATTACTCCCTTTCTACATCACCCCAGTTGTTTTAGGAAAGCAACATCCTCCTGAATGTCACTGAAAAAAATAAAGTATTGTAAACGGTTTCCTAAACTTTTAAAAAATAAACAATCATTTATCTGAATTTTACCAGATAGACTCCCATGTTTTAAATGATAAAATCTTCATTTTGCCTGTTGATTTTCTTCTGTTTGATCATTCTTACCAGCAGGAACCTATATGAAAACTGGAAATAAGATTTACTAACTTTTGCTTTCCATAATACAGATTCATTAGTCTGCTCTTTTTAAAGAACAGAATAAAAATAAGTAAACAAAATATTTACCTCAAAAACTTAGAAAAGAATAAACTTAAGAAAACTAGAATGTTATTAATAAAAATAAAAACTCAACTAAATTAATTAGAAAATAGGAATTCAGTAAAATCAATTAATCAAAGAGTATTACTTTGAAGCAAACACACAAAAATAGATACAACCTTGGTAAGGCTAACTGAGAAAAAGTGGGAAAACAAAATTATATAGCCAAAATTATATTTTATTTTTGTAATATGATTATTTAACTTTTCTCAATATCTTTGAAAATAAAAAACCTTCTAGGAATACATAAAGCACCAAAACTGATTAATTGAACAGGTGGTAATTCAGAATAGTCTAGTAACTACAGAAGACATTTAAAGTGTTTTCAAAGAAATATAATCACCCCCACTTCTGTGCATCTAACCTGGATATTTTAATGGTTTAATGATTTCATCATTCGTGTGGTATTTAAACTATTCTAAAGCATAGAAAAAAAAACAAAATAAGAAAGTTCATTCTAGTTATTTTTTAAATTTAACTAGCTAAATCTGCTACCAAGTACAGGCTACCAAAATCCAACAAACCAACCATAAAACAGAGAAAACCTATTTATGGATACATATTAAATATTGCCAATAAAATATGAGCAAATAAAGTCAAGTAAGGTAGTTATATTGATGGATAGTTTTATTGTTAGGAGAAAAAGTATACATTCTTGTAAAAACCATACAACTCAGGAAAAAATCACTTGAATTTTTATTACTGTAATATAGCCACAACTAACATTTGGATAAACATCCTTCCATTTTCTCTCTAGATATAGCTGTATATATAGATAAACAACTTTGTATGAGGGGAATCATAATATACATACATAATATATGTAATCTGAGAGTTTTACTCAACAATATGTCATGGACATTCATCCATGTCAATAAATATAGATCTACACCATTTGTAACAGTCACATATTATCCAATTGTATGTATGTATTATAATTTACTTAACCAGTTTAATGGATGTTTGGGTTGTTTCCAATTTGGTGCTATTATGAATAGCTCTATGATACACTCCGTGGACATAAATCTCTTCCCCTTTTGTGATTATTTTCTAAAAGTAGTATTGCTGGATCATACAGCATACACATCTTATATTTCTCTATTACCAGATGGCCTTCCAGAAAAGTTATATCTATTTATAGTTCTATCAACTATGCTTGAGTATGCAATTGCCCCACACCCACATCAGCACAAAGTATTATCAATTATTTGCTGTTAGATAATCATTTGATGGGAGGGAAGGCTAGTTGTTCACTAAGTTTGTTTACTATTTTTTATGTTTATGTATTCAACAAAGAACACATCGAGTGTCTGTAGGTGCCAGTAGCTGAACTAGGCACTGAGAATTCAGTGATCAACAAGAGAGATGTGGTCGCTGTCCTCAAAAATATTTTTGAAGAGACTAGGGAAGTCACTAAATTAACACAAGAATAAATGAACAAAATAATTACATATTGAGACTAGTGATCTTCAGGAAATAAAGATGTTTTGAGAATAACAAGAGGATAAACTACTTTGAGTAGAGAAGTTAGAAATTACATCTTTGAAGAAGCGACATTTAACCTGAGATAAGAAATATGGAGTAAAATGAGTTCCAAGCAGAGGGAATAGGAAGGAAAAGATTGTGAGGCAGGAAAGACCTTGGTGTGTTCAAGGAAAGAAAGGAGGCTAAAGTAGCCAGAGTATAGCAGATGAACAGAGCTCTGAGAAGTAGGCAGGAATCAGATCTTACTTGGCCTTGAAGACCACAAGAAGAATTTTGAATTATCTTCTAAGTTCTGCACAAAGAAGCTGAAGGACTTTAAACATAATACAATTCGATTAACCCTCTAAAATCTCTGTCAACTCTGTGAGTATTTGATTGAGTAATTATTGGCTTAGAAAGCTGTGTCAGTACTGATGCTACTCACTGAAATGAAAAATTCCTGCTGAGAATAGGTTTCAGGGTAGATGAATATTTTGGACATGCAAACGTATAGATATTTATGAAACATCTAAGTAGAGATTCAATATTAACAGCTGGATAATGTAAGTCTGAGGCTCAGGTAACACAATGGATATATATTTGAGAGTCCCCAGCACATAGATGGTATTTAAATCATGGGATTGGATAGAACCACATAGGGAAAGACTATACACTGGGAAGAGATTTAAGGAATGTTTTTTAAATTAAACAAAAAAAGATGCCCATCAGAATGTAAAGGAATGGTCAAACATTTAAAAACAGCTAATAGACTAAGAATTTTTTAATTAAAAGAACTAAAGGTATGTAATATATAATCAGCATTATGAGGGATCAGTGCCCACTAGCAAATATCCAGGGCCACTTTCCACACTAAAAAAAGCACAAGTGATTGTGCTTTTTTAAAAAAGCAAAAGTGATTGTGCTTTTTTAAAAAAGCAAAAGTGATTTGCTGGTACCCAATAGCAAATATCCAGGGCCACTTTTCCATGCTAAAAAAGAGCACATGTGATTGCACTGCTCATCTTTTAGGTTTCACTAACTTAAACTTTGGATGAATTGGTACTGAATCTTCTAAGGTTGCCTTTGGCCAAGGAGAGAATGAGGTGGCTACCCGAGTTTCATGAGGTAGGCTGAGCATTTCTGATAGGGAGACCAGTGTGGAGCAGAAGGGAGCTGTACTGTGCCTGGACAGTGCCAATGATAGCGATCTCCCCTCCTATTTTCTTCTACCTCAGGAGCAGCACACAAACATGCAACCTAAGCAGGGGTTTTAGAAGGAAGCCATGCTTCCCACTGTGGAACTGGGAACCTCTGGAAGGAAATAATTGATGCTCTAGGCATCCTAGCACAGCACCTGGCCTTCTCATTCCTGGAAGATTTTTATAGAGAGTGCATAAAACTGGTAAACAACAATCTTCACAGCATAGACCCTTCTATGTAGGAAAGTTACTATTAATTGGTATTATGTTTCCTTATTGGCATGTAATTGGGAAAGGAGAGCTCCAAGGGGATCCCTGATATGAAACATTAGTCTCTATTATAAAAACACGTAACTAGAGATGATGGTACCTGTACAAGCAACTCTACACATTTTCGTAATACAGCAAATTACAACATTCTAGCCAAAACAACATTTAGATAATGATCAATTCCTATTACGTTGGGACAAATACGAGCCCCAAAGAATGGAAGATAAATTTATCTTTCAGTGGCCTGCATAAATCCCTTAGTTGGGAGAGGGGAAAGGGATGTGAAATATCACTAAGAAAATCAATATCTTTATTGATTAATCAAGCTACTGTGATTTATTGGGCACTCACTCATTTGTTTGTTACAGTCATTTCATGCATTGCCTCTGGCTGTGATAAATGGTCTGGCCTCCTCTTTGGCAAAGAGGGAGGCTTTTTAGCTGTCCTTCTAAAAGTGTGGGCCCTTCCAGATACCTGCAAATTTGCTTCTATGGCAAGTTAAAGCCTACAGACTGCTGTGAAATATGGCCTTGAAAATACCAGATTCACCCAATGTGAGGAGCCCAAAGAGCAGTGCACATAGACATCAACTCTGGGTGCTTCCAAATGGAAACAGAAAGCTAAAGCAGAAGCGTGCTTGATATCCAGGATATAATTATACTGACAGGGTTAGGAGCTACTGTCTCAAAATCAGCTGGCATTTTCTGTATATATTGCAGATATTCTCATTAGGATACTAGCAGTCTAATTTCTATAACAGCTTAGTTATTTTTGTCTCCCAGGTCCTTTTAAACTGCATTCAGTGGACATCATTCCCCTTTGCCTCTAGATGAAAACTGTTGTGAGACATTATTGCTGATCCTTGAGTAATAAGTAAACTCAGCTTTCTTTAAGCCATTGCAGCAGCAAATGCAATAAAAAGAATGTCCAGTCCAAGATATCAAAAGGCCATAGTTGACTTAGTATTATATCTTCTCCCTTTCCCGCAAAGGGAAGGAAGTATGACACTTCTCTGCAACTTCACCTTAGGAACTTCTGCCCCTACTCCACATCAAGCTGCTGTTTCACTCCAGGCCAGAGGCAAAGCAAAAGGGCGTGAGGATAGATCAGTTATGCCTCGGTTGAGTGGCTTTCCACACCCTCGCCTGCCAGGTGGTGAAAGCTGTAACCCTGGGTGGTACCCTACATACTGATAAAGGTGACTTTCTCCCTCCAGGGAGGCTTACATGGGCTTCAGAGGTTCCCTGCTAGATCCTGCTGTCCTATAATTGCACTGCCACTAGGCCAAATAAATATCTATTCTAAGATGCCACTCCTGAGTAAACTTCAAAATGCTTTCTTTCTCAATTCATTAGTATACTTTAAAATACTTCCTAGCTGGGCACGGTGGCTCCTGCCTATAATCCCAGCACTTTGGGAGGCCAAGGCAGGCAGATCATTTGAGTCCAAGAGTTCAAGACCAGCCTGGGCAACATGGCAAAACTCCATCTCTACAAAAAATGCAAAAATTAGCCAGGAAAATGCAAAAATTAGCCAGGCATGGTGGCGTGTGCCTGTAGTCCCAGCTACTTGGGAGGCTGAGGTTGGAGGATTGCTTGAGCTCTGGAGTGGAGACCAAGGTAGCAATGAGCTGAGATCACGCCACTGCACTCCAGCCAGGGTGACAGAGTGAGACCCCCATTTCCCAAAAAAGAAATACACTTTCTACTGATGTTCCCTCATTGCTCCAGGTGGCCCTCCTGGACAGGACTCAAGACAACCCAATGTCTGCTCTCTCTCCCATGTGAGGAGGCCCACAGGAAACACTCAGGCCACCCTTCCCTTCCAAGTGCTGGAAATGCAGTTCAATCCCAGCACAACACCTAGGTAACCAACCATCCTAGTTTGTCCCAAACTGTACCCATTTTACTACTGAAAGTCCCATGTCCCAGACAACTCCTCAGTCCTAGGCAAATGGCTTTCTTAGCTGCACCTTCAGCTTTCACTTCTGATTGCCTCCTACAGTCAGACCCACCCAAGACTATAATCCACTTGAGCTTTCTCAAGCCTAAGCCTGGCTCCAGTCCTCTGCATGTCCCAACCACAAGACATGTCTTTCAAAGCTCAAACAGGATCCTCCTGAAAGACCTTCTCTTTTGGCTTGGGAATAGAAGGCAGCATCTTCCACCCTTTGCCCAAGGGGCACCTTACACATATCCAAAGAGGGCCACCATGAGCCCAGAGAACTTTTTGATTTACAAGATTACCCTAGGAGTTGAACTGTTGTGTTGAAAGTATTTTCCTGGAAACATATTTATTTCCAGTTAAGTTCAATTAAGTAGAAAGTTTTTATCTTGTTTTATTTCTATGACACAGATTCAGCCTTTTGCATTCAAGAAGATACAGTAATATACACTTCTGTGCCTTGATCCGTTCCTGAAATAGTCTCCTGGTATCTAAAGTTGCACTTCCTACTTTCCAGCTGTCTACTGGTGGCCATGGACAAGCCCTGAGGACCAATTGTGGATCACTAAGTCTCCTTCCTCTCACAACATAGAATAACCCAACAGACCCCATGAAGTCATCATCATGGTACCAAACTAACTGGAACTGGGGTAGTGGCTGGATTTGGTGCTAGAGATGACACATGGACCCAGAACATGACAGGGAGAGAGACTCCTTATATAAATAACAATTTGGTGCCACCATCCAGAATGTTACAACTATTACTTCTCCATAGACCAAATACTTCTGCTCCTTCCCATTTCACATCATTACTCAGCTCAGTTGAAGTTTTTTTTTTTTTTTAATGTCTCTTTCAGCCACTCTTTTTGTCATACAGCTGGTAAAACAGCTCTGCTACAACTATACAGACATATGGGTTTCTGGAACTAACTTACAACTCCCCTTAAATTTCTGCACTCAGTCAAAGGGAGAACTATTTCATTCTATAGACATGGGGCCCTTTGCCATCAAGATTGACTTGAGAGTTTCCATTTGAAATTTCCCCTGTAGCAACTCAAATCTCCCAAACAGCAGTGTTCTGGATGTGCCGCATGTAATTCTTCAACTTCTTTTATTCTGGGCTCATAGCCAAATTCCCACATTTCATGACTTTATGCCTTCCACCCTAAACATCTGTTCCTGCTTTAGGATTTCTTTCTAATGGGTTGATTGCTCAAATCCTGCCAATCAGGAACAACTCTTCCTGATTCTTCCCAAGCTGTTTGCTTCTGCAAAGAAAAACCTCCAAACTGTTTTTCAACTACCTACTTCAGCATCCTTATCAAGTGCTTCAATTTGCCTCTCCAAGACTATCACACCTGCCCTCAGGAGGCCGCTAGTCCAGACATCTCATTTGGGCACATAGCTCTTCCTGGGCAGTGTTAACATAGAATAACAGAATATCAGCAATTAAAATACATTTCAATTATTTGCAGCTAGAGGAAGATAATCTCAATTTCACATATGAGTTTACAAAAGGAGTAATACGCAACAGAGCTGGTGCCAGAGTTTATATGCCCAGTGGGTAGTGTAATGATTCATTTTCCTCCACCCACCATTAATATAAGCTGATGTCATCATGACCCCAGCCTATTTCTTGACTTGGCTGGACAGAAAACAGGAATGTCTAGGTGTCTGTCCACTGAGTGCACAGACACTGGACATCTGCTTTAAGTCTTTCACCTGAGGGTATTTTCCTTTTCTTTGCAGTTATTGGGGGTGTGCAAAGAAAAGGAAAATGTCCTCTGGTGAAAGGCTTATAGCTAAAGACTATGAGTTAACTTATAGTTAAAGAACAGAGGGTTACAGAACTTTAGCCCATAGGTGGTACTGCTCATTGATGGCCTCTGAGTGGAAACACCTCCACTAAGATCAAAGAAGAGATGTGGGCTGCTGTGCATTGTGCATGCCAGTGTATTTAGTCCAGTCTCTCATGCTTACTTCCCCGGGGAAGGCTTCCTTGACTATTCACTATAGCCCCAGACTGTTCTTTCCACATTCCTATATGTTTCTTCCTGTGTGTTCCTATAACAACTCTACTTGCCTTATCAAAAGATCTATCACACTTTGTTATAATTGCTTGTTTCATATCAGTCTGCCTGACTCCAGAATGGCTTTTAAGCAAGAAACATGTTTGCCTTGGTTGCTGCTACATTCTTCAGCACTCTGCATACTTCCTGACAAATGGCACAGTACAATACTATTTGATGAATGAACGGATGAAAACAACTGTGAATTAACTGATAACTGCCATAGATGTGCAGGGTATTAGAACCGAATTTTCACTTCACTGTGATCATTTGATTTTAAGAGCATATAAGTAAATAATATGCTATTGAATCGATACAATCATCCATCATATGTTGATTCCTTAAACTCACCTGTCCCATCAGGTAAATCAAAAACAAAACATGAATCTAACTATTATGAAAACTATATCCTGAAAACTATAACCAGTTTACAAATGCTCACTTTGTCCTATAGAGACTGAAACTCTAGTAATGTGAAGTTACACTTGGATGGACACAGTTCTTGACTTAATTTTTCATTTAATTTTTAAAATATACTCCAAAGCCATAAGTGAGGACTAAGTTGCAACTGCTCAGTCTTTTCTTCATAAGAGTTTTTCTTGAAGATTTTATTACATCTGGAAATTTTCACCTAGTAATAATTTGTTTCCATGAGTTCAGAAAGACAAAAATTAATACTGGCAGCCCCATGAAAAGGTGGCAGCCACTTGCCCACCTGACTGCATGGAAATCCAATGCATGCTCACTCCAGGGCTGCTTCATCTACAGACGGGACAGAAATGCTCTCAGAGCCTGAACATGTTTCAAAAGAGGGAAATGTGCTTCATTACTCCTTTTAATGTCTTTTCCCACCTTTCTCTCTCCCCAGTCTTTCCGGAAGAGCTGGGGAAAGTTGATCTCTTACGCATTTGCATATTTGTTAATTTGAGATCCTGTCTTACATTTAAAAGTTACAAGAGCAGCCAGCATTAATTTGAACTGATCCTATAAAGACATATTTTTCCCTGCTTTTGGCTTTGGAATGGCACGACTTTCCTTTTGTGGATAGATTATGTGTTAAATGACCTACAGCAGATTGTTAAATAACATCCGCTTCACTTGAAGAATTCTGCAGGGATTGAAAAAGTCACCCTAAAGGCATTTTGTACTCTTGCTTCCTTTAGGTCCACTTTGGCCAACAGCTAAGAGTTTCCTCAGGACTCCGAAATCAGTGGTTACTGACATCTCTTCACCAACTAAGCAGTCAACCTTGATTGAAATTAACACCATTTAAAGATAAAAACCTGATATGCCTATCTTAGGAGAAAGTTGTTATATGCATTTGTTTCTGGATTGGATTTGCCCCTGCTGTTTTAAAGTGTTCTCAAATGTTCTGCTCATGACCCTTCTCATCAAAGATGTGGTTTAAGAACATAAATCAATGAGGTTGTGTGATATGGAGAACTGCCTCTGGTAACCACAAACATGTTCCCATTGAGGAGGTAGGAATTATTTTTGTTATTAACTGTAATAATTATCTGCATTAATAATTTTGTAAAATTAAGAACACTAAATTGTGTTTAGCAGCTGTTTCAAGATTTAGTAGTAAAGGTCTTTTTAAAAAATCAGTTTTACTCCACTTGCATTATTATTCTAAGAGCCACAGAACAACCAGCCTAGAATCACTGCAAGTCTGATCAAAATCATTAAGTCAGCAGAATCAACTTTCATATTAGTATAATGGGAAATTATATTGTGTATAATAGTTGTCATAAGTCAAGAGAGGGGTCTTTGCATTGGATATAACTCATTCATCTGACAGGCTTATGTCTCCATCAGCAAAGATCAAGATGGACAGCCAGAATTCTGGAAAACTCTCCTCCCCAACACTTGTAGCCCAGCCACCATTAACTATCTGGGATCATCGAGACAGTCTATCATGTCAGTCCCCACGAGATGCCTAGGATACTCGGGCCATCCCTTATCCCCAAGACTCTCATCATCAGTTGGCTCATTCCCACCCTGTGGTCTTCCCAAATCTCTGCACCTTCATTCTCAGCAATGACCCTGCTTCTGATCTTGCTAAGAATTGAAGCAATTTGAAGAGAGCTCCACGAGCTCCCAGCATCATATCTATCCATTCTCCTGCACTTGGGCCCAGATGCTCTGCTCTCTTTCCTATTCCTGTGTTCTTTCCATGCTCCTGAAGTAGGCAACGCCCTCAATAACTTATGTGCTCCATCCCTCTCTCATTTACCTAAGATCATTCCTCTAGTAACTCTCTTTCTTTTGCATTATCAACGTATCATTCTTATCTTTTTTCGCACTAACATACAAAATACTATATTTCTCCCACTATAAAGCAAAGACCACCCTCTCCTGATCCCACTTTACCCTCCAGCTGCTGCCCATCTTTTTCCTCCCTTTACCGCAAAGCTCCTCCAATTATTTGTCAAACTCACTGTCTTCTCCTTTTGCACTTAAGCCTATTGCAATCCAGATTTTGCTCCAACTTCACAAAAATTATACTTGTTAATGTCACCTATGTGTTCTATCATATTTTCCAAAGCTTTTGGGATCATTCTTACCAATAAGTAAGCCATTTGTGTGACTTGAGGAACACTGAAAGAATCCATTGTCCATCTTGATAAATTTAAAATTATCTCTTTTAAACCTCCCCTCTTCAAATGATGCAAGATCATCCCATATTTGCAATTCCCTGCAATTTCTTACATAGCTTGGCAGGTATATAGGTCAATTAATAACATCCTGAAAAATGGAAAAATGAATTTACTCCATTCTGTGCCTGTTAGTGCAAATATACAATGAAAAGGAGTGATGGAGCACATGAGGCAGCCTACATGTTGGCATGTAAACTTCTTCCTGCCATATGGGGCAGTCTTCAAAAAGGCAACATTAATTTATGTGAACAGATTTGTGTCATTGTCTCTCTTAGGAAAAGGGGCCAGAAAAACATCACTTTTGTTCAAAAATATTCCCCAACCCTAGCCAGACCTACAATTGACTGCAATGCTAAGTATTCATCTTTAAAAGTTAGAACACTGCTATCCAAAAAGGTAATCAGTTATCTAGCCAGCCATCCAAGAAGGTAATCAGTTATCTAGCCAGCACATTGACAGATTACTTAAAGTAATTAATAAGCCATTTCCACCCATTAACACATTATTGGAGAATGAGATCTAGAGGAAGAAAATATATGTTGAGAGATGAGAAGAACCCAAATGGGTGGAGACCACAATGAGGAGGGAGGAGGCTGTTGGAGTGTGGGGTGCCATGTCACTTGGAGAGAGGGTTTGGCTGGCCTTGGCATCTGAGGGGTGGACACCATGAAGGACTGTGAAGGAGAAATGTTAAAAAGAAGTGGTAGAAGAGTACCTCAGGCCCTGTGCTTTCTTCACAACTTTGCCCAAAAGTAATTCTGTTTTTAACATGTTTGACTTTCCATTTTTGCCTCTTAATGCAGTTGTCCTATTTTAACACTCCCGAGAAGATTAACTCTTCATAGACACTATAACCCTCAGAACTTTTGTAGTGCCTTTTGTGGAGAAAATAATGAGACAGTGAGTTTGGTTATATTTCTTGACTCAAACTGGCTTTTGATCATCCTTCTCCCATGTAAACATCTCTTGTGTAAGTTTGAAATGTGTCCCTACTTCTCTCTTTTGGTCTTTGAGTCTAGCTTCCATTTATTTTGCTCAAACATTGTCTTCTTTTTCTTTGGATGAAAATTCTTTACCTTCACCTTATTCTTCTCTAATTTAACAATTTTCCTTTAATCTGTATATATTTCTTCTTTCTCCCAAATTACCTGTACTAGTTAAGCAAGTGGTTCTTATAAAGCCAATGCATTCTTAATTGCTGGTATGTTGACTGCTCTCATCTCGGCTGGTAATACAGGTGATTACTGAAAAATTACATAAAATTATTGGGGCCATTCCTGGAATCAGGACAGAGATTATTTCCTAAGAATTTCAGTTTTAACCCTGACCACAGTAGAAGACAGAGCTGAGATCTTAAAAGGCTAAAGCCAAAGGGAAATTTAGAAGTTACTGTCACAGACCAACGACCTCATCATGCAGATAACAAGATGGATACCCAGAGAGTTTCCAGAGTTTTAAGGCTAAACTCTTGCAGATGTTGTTACTAGGGAATTTTCTTGGGTCAGAGGCCCCAAAAGCAAATTCTGAGACAATGATTCATGTGCAAATGATAGAGTAAAGAAATATACCCAAAAGAAGCTGCTGAGGTCAGTAAATAAGGCCTGGCTGGTAAAGAGGGAGGGATGGGGGCAGTGGGGAGCACAATTTCCCAGGCCCTTCTGGTTCTCTGTGTATGTGCAGACAAAGCAGCTCCAGGAGCCGACAGTCTGCAGAAGGCAGTCTGAAGGTGTGGGCCATTAGAAGCAAGAGCACACAGGAGCTGGGGGCAGCTGCAAACAGAAGGAAAAGAGACCCACGGGAATCTGGGCAGAGCATCAACAGTGTCTGCTCTAGGAATTCTGTCTCTAACTCCACAGGTGCCATCCTATAGGAATGGGATGGGAGAAGGATATTTTCCTCCTTTTGTACCTTCACAGGACTTTTGCAATTACCTTGTAGTATTTTACTTTTAAAAAACATACCCAAATTTCACCTTGACCCTATTATTTTCCTGCTGTGGCTTCTTTTTGGTTAGAAGGTCAAGCCCATACACTTTAGCCTGACATTCAAGGCTGATATGGTTTGGCTGTGTCCCCACCCAAATCTCATCTTGAATTGTAACTCTCATAATTCCCATGTGTCATGGGAGGTACCCGGTGGGAAGTAATTGAATCATGGGGGTGGGTCTTTCTGGTACTGTTCTCATGATAATGAATAAGTCTCACGAGATCTGATGGTTTTATAAAGGGCACTTCCCCTGCATACTCTCTCTTGCCTACTGCCATGTAAGACATGCCTTTGCTCCTCCTTTGCCTTCCACCATGATTTTGAGGCCTCCCCAGCCATGTGGAACTGTGAGTCCATTAAACCTCTTTTTCTTTATAAATTACCCAGTCTCTAGCATTTCTCCATAGCAGTATGAAAATGGACTAATTCAAAGGCCTTCAAGAATACTATTTTAAACTTCATTTAAAGCCTACCTTCCACACCAAGAAAAGATGTTGTATTTGAGCCATTGTTTGGCTGCCCTCTTACATATGACACCTCTCCACCTCCATTATTTTCTCACACCCACCAGCCTCCCAGCACAGCTCAATCAGCAATTCTTCATCAACCTAAACTGATCATTCAAAATCTCACTAAGCCTATGTATTTTGCACAGTCCTTTCTGACCACACTTGCTTGAAGTAATACCACCTTCCTCTCAGTTCCCATTACAAGCTTTGTCTAAACTATGCATTTTGCAAAACTGTTCTGTGAAATCTCTTCTACTGGGTTCTTCAGCCATGTTATTTTTATTAATGGGCTTTACATTTTTAGAGTAGTTTTAGTTTTACAGAAAATTGAACAAAGTACAGAGTGTTCCCTCTCTCCCCTGCCCTCAGTTTCTCTTATGATTAGCATCTTGTACTACCATGGTACAGTTGTTACAGTAGATGAGCCAATACTGATACATGACTGTTAACTAAAGTCCATAGCTTACATTAAGATTCACTCCAGGTGCTGTCCAGTTCTATGGGTTTTGACAAATGCATAATGTCATGTATCCACCATTACATTTTCAGGGAGAATGTAATAATTTCCCTGTTCTAAAAGTCCCCTGTCCTGGCCAACATGGTGAAATGCTGTCTCTACTAAAAATACAAAAATTAGCTGGGCGTGGTGGCACGTGCCTGTAATCCCAGCTACTCAAGAGGCTGAGGCAGGAGAATCACTTTAACCCAGGAGGCAGAGGTTGCAGTAAGCCAAGATCGTGCCACTGCACTCCAGCCTGGGTGACAGAGTGAGACTCCATCTCAAAAAAAAAAAAAAAAAGAAAATTCCCTGTGCTTCACTTGTGCATCCTCCTTCTCTCCCCTCGGTCCACTGGCAACCACTGATCTTTTTCCTGTCTCTATAGTTTCATCTTTTCCAAAATGTCTTATTCAGCTATTTTTAAATCTCTCACTACTATTCAAGAGTGTATGCATTTGTGTCTTGTTTCCCCTTATAGTTGGGAAACTTCTCATTACATTCCCATTAGCAATTACTAGGACATCACATGCACTGTAGATCTTAGTAAGTGCACGTTGTTTATTTGAATGAACATCACATCAGTTTTCATTTTTCTTTAGGAAAATTATTAAAATATCTACATCTCTTTAAAAAGGTAATAGTTTTAAAAATTAAACCGTTTTTACTCTTTCTAGTTTAAATGTTTCTTAACAGATTAGGGGTTTCATCTCAATTTGCAATTGGGACTTAATATGCCCTTGATTTCCGGAAACTGTGTTTTTAACATGTGGGTTGAGGGTTGAGTGCGGGACTGAAGCTTGGCATAAATGCTTTGTACAATTCACAGCTGTGAGGTTTCACAGTCATTGAGGTTCCTCCCAGCCATCTCAATGTGTGCTTCTCCTCACACAGCAAAGACTACAGTCAATGAACCCAATGGACACATTTGTTTCCACATCTATTTCAACAGGCTCGATTTTGAAAAATATTCAGGAAATTTCTTTTTAAAGAAAGAAAAAACTGATGTGATTTCTCCACTGATAATTGATAAGATAGTATTTTCCTCTCATAGCAAAACTTCCACAAAAATACAAATCTATCAGATGTCAAATTTTTTACAGGAACTCCCTAATTAAGAAATTTGTTTTAGGAAAGGGTGAATTCTAATCCTTCCAGCTATAAAGACAATTTCACAAGAACTGGGGAGAGCCAGGATGGTCAAATGAAAACCAAAAACAAAAGTGAAGAAAAAACACTGCTTTATGCAAGAAGCATTTCAACACCAGAAACCAGGCAGCAACTTCCCTCTCCCTTGCAAGTTTTCCACTTTTGTCATCATGTGTTCACAGCACCCTCCTGTTCTGAATATCCTCTGCACCACCCCAAATGGGTAAGGAGATTCCTCACAACTGACCAGGCATATAGGCTCCAGCTGGCTTCTTTCACCCTTCCAAGTGCCTGCTAGGGTGAGGGATGCCTACCCAGGAAATCTAAAGAAGACCTTTGTCTTCAGCCATATCTTCATTTATATCTGATGTCTTGATTGAGCCCTTTCCAGACCATTTCTAGGCTTTTGGCCTCCTTTCGTTATTTATGCACCAATTAATTCACGTGGCTAAAAGCAAGACAAGAACCACAAAATAAATGTCATTCTACTAGTTTTTATTTCATATTGTTAAGCTTCTTTTAAGAACTGCCTGTGTTTTGTATTCCAGAGATTCTTGGTTTTGGCAGAGGCAAAGTTCCAAT
Organism: Homo sapiens; assembly: GCF_000001405.40. Lineage (NCBI taxonomy): Eukaryota > Metazoa > Chordata > Mammalia > Primates > Hominidae > Homo > Homo sapiens. Next base: position 75,154,471 of record NC_000013.11, read on the forward strand.
GAATACACGGACTCTGTTACCAGCCTGGGAACGAGATGGATAAATTTGTTTTCAACTTTATCCCTGGCATCAGTTTTGCCCTAGAGTCTGTTCATACAGTGTCTGGGGAATCTGTGTCGTATGGCTGACAATTTTGACTTTCATAAAAAGCTGAGATGATTGTTTCCATGTACAGTATTACAACTGTAAGGACAAAATGCAGTTTTCCAAAACTGCCATTTTTCTTATTTTCTAACATACTTTTGAATTAAACCATCATAGTTTACCGATCAGAATTGCTCTGCCAAGTTATGTACAGTTGTAACTATATATTGCTACACTAATGGAACCTCAAACCATGGCATAGTCCTATTGGAACAAAAGCAGCTTTCCTCATTGTGTGAATTTTACCTCAATAATAAGCCTCTGTGCACCAAATTGATTAGATTTCTTGTAAAAGAATAGCTGCCATTGCAAATCCAAAATAATAGATGGTTGACATGTGACACTAATAGTAGCCAATAAAACAGCTACAGGAAAATTTTCCCAAATGATTTGTAAATTGATTATCTATAATACCTTATGATAAATTGACCCATAATGTCATCTGATGGCTATTTATTTAGGTAGAAATTCAGCCTGGGGAATTTGAGAAACAAAATCCCAGCACTGCAATGATGATGGTAATACATTTCAGTCTACTAGAATAGCAGATATTAGTGTGGTTTAGTAAGCTTTGTCTTTGCCCATATGTCCTAAAACAGGACTTTTACTAATATTAAGTAAGGTCAAGAGAGAAATCTATTCTGAGTATCAACTTGATGGGTTCTCCAGAAGCATCTCAAACAGCAATCATCTTCCCATCCCACCAAAAAAAAAAAAAAATCAACTTCTTGACTTTCCTATCTCATTAATAAGACTAGCATTAGCCTAGATGTCCAGGGCAAAAATGAGTTATCTTCAAGTTCTCCTTTCCAGTTAACTTGCAATTCAATTGTCACTGAGACCAATTTGTTCTTTCTTCTCATTGTCTCTTTCTCACATTTTTTTCTTTGCATTTCCACAACCCAAAGACAATCAGAGTCATTATTCTGCATTCTCGATACTGCGGTCCTGCTTCATGTGGCCTCTATGACTCTAGCCTTCTCCTCCATTCAGCCTTATGAATCCCACACAAATCTTCTGTAAGTTCTGCTTCAAGGGGTCACTCCCCTGTTCACAACACTTCAATGAGTCTCTGTATTAGGCTGTTCTTGCATTGCTATGAAGAAATATTTGAGATGGGGTAATTTATTTAAAAATAGGTTTAACTGGCGCATGGTTCTTCAGGCTGTGCAAGCATTGCACCAACATCACTCAGCTTCTTGGGGGGCCTCAGGGAGCTTTTATTCTTGGTGGAAGGCAAAGCGGGAGCAGGAACATCACATGGTGAAAGCAGAAGCAAGAGAGAGAGGGGGAGGTGCCACACACTTGTAAACAACCAGATCTCATGAGAACTTACTATCATGAGAACAGCATCAAGGGGATAGTGCTAAACCATTCCTGAGAAACTCACCTCCATGATCCAATCACCTCCCACCACGCCCCACCTCCCACACTGGGGATTACGATTCAATGTGAGATTTGGGCAGGGACACATATTGAAACTATATCAGTTTCTATTGCCAAGAACAACAATTTTCCAACTGTTTTCTGCTATGAGACATATGTGTGTGCCATTCAAGCTGGAACATAAGTAGGATATGGAATCTGGCTCCAACACCTTACTCTATATATATTATCTCCTTCCTGTGCCTCCAGTCAGAATTGGTTCCTCCTCCTTGTGCATTCCTATTTTATTCTACTCATGTGGAACCCTTCACCTATTGCTGTACATTGACAACATTTATGTTTGTATTGTAGTAGATTTAGAAGATGACTTTCAATGATTCCCATTTCTTAATGTTCATGACCTTATGTAATCCCTTTCTTTTGAGAGTGGCTAGACCTAGTGACTTGCTTCTAATGAACAGAACACAACAAGCATGATGGGATGTCATTTCATGATTTGACTGTAAAACACTGTGATGTCTATCTTACTAGAGGACTCCCTTTTAGCTTCTCAGTTTACACACTCTGGTGAAGTAAGACACCATGTTAAAGACGCTCACATGGCAAGGAACTGAGGGTTGCCTGAGGCTAGACACCAACAATGAGTTGAAGCCCTCAAACCAACAGCTCTTCAAGAACTGAATTCTGCCAATACCCATGTAAGTGAGCTTGGAAGTGGATCCTTCCCCAGTCAAGCCTTCAGATAAGACTACAGCTTTGGCCAACATTTTTATTTCAGCCTTATGAGAACACTGAAGTGCAGGAGCCAGCTAAACCATGCCTAGATTCCTGACCCATAGAAACTGTGAGATAACTGTTTTTATCCTGCTAAGTTTTCATGTAAGTTGTTGTACAGAAATAAATAAAATACACATCTCTTAGCTCACCTACTTAGCTATTGTCTCCCCAAGGCAGAAACTCTAAATGATAAAACTAGATGGAAGCACAGTGCCCAATGTAAATGCTAAAACATAGTAAACACTAATTGAGAGAAAGATTAAATAAATCACTTTACTGAGCCAATTTTCCAATTGCTGTGGAAAAGGAATATTATTTAACCTTCTCTAAATGAATGAATAACATATAAAGTTTATACTACCCTTTAATGTCAGATCCTATGTTTTGATTTTTGCCTGTTTATCCACTCATTTTTATTTCTTCTTCTGTTCTTAGCGGGAAGAAGTTCATGTCATCTTCTACTTACCTAAAGGAGTGCATAATTCACAGTGATAAACAATAGCAAACTTGAATTTGTTTTTGAATACTGATATCAACCAAATATAAGTTCCTTCTATAATAAAAATGTGTTTAAATGATAATGAAATTTGGATATCATCTATATCACTTAGAATATTTTGAGCTGCAAATAAAAAAATGACAAGTGATTCACAGCAAAAATATTCATTTTATATATAATAACTCTGTTGCCTTCAGGATTAAAAATTTAAGCAAGCCATTGAGGATCCAATATTTTCCCATTTTTCTACTCTACTATTCTCAGACAGACTCCCTCATGGTTGCAATATGGCTACCACTATTCCAGTGATCACATCCATCATAAGAATATCCAATGGAAGAAAAGCACGTCTCTTCCTGTGTGTCTCATTTTTAACAGCAACAAAACCTTCTCAAGAACCACTCAACAGATTTCACTTTGCATCTCAATGTCTAAAACTGGATCGTATACCATGTCTTAAATTAAACTCTGATAGGAGAACTAGGATAACCATGTTGGCTAGGGGAAAGGGTAGAAACCTGAACAAAATTTGGGTTTCACCAGCAAGCAGGAAGAAGGATGTCTATTTACATCTACAAAAGATGGCATAAACTAGAACACAAGTAGTCCATGTGCTTACATAAAGTCAGCAGAAGGGCCAACTATTCACCTGGAATTATTTGGAATTATGAGAAAAGGCTTACAAATTGGCTTACAAATTAAGATAAAAATCATGACCCATCTACAAAAATTGGCTATCTTTCAATAATCTTATTAAACTTTGAAATTATAGTTAACACTACCATCAGATTTTCTGTCATTCAGTTTTTATTTATGGAAAACTATTATGGTCTCAAAATCAATTTTTAAACATGATATAAATGGATTTATAAAAAGTCATAAGGTTGCACAACTGATCTTCGACAAAACTGACAAAAACAAGCAGTGGGTAAATGACTCCCTATTCACTAAATGGTGCTGGGATAACTGGCTAGACAAATGCAGTAGATTGAAACTGGACCCCTTCCTTACAATCATATACAAAAATCAACTCAAGATGGATTGAAGACTTAAAAGTAAACCCCAAAACTATAAAAACTCTGGAAGATAACCTAGGAAATGCCATTCTAGACATAGGACCTGGCCTGACAAAGATTTAATAACAAAGATGCCAAAAGCAATTACAACAAAAACAAAAATTGACAAATGGGACCTAATTAAACTAAAGAGCTTCTGCACAGCAAAATAAACTATCAACAGAGTAAAAAGACAACCCACAAAATGGGAGAAAATATGTGCAAACTACGCATCTGACAAAGGTCTAATATACAGCATCTATAGAAACTTAAACAAATTTACAAGCAAAAAATAAACAACCCCATTAAAAAGTGGGCAAAGGACATGTATAGGCACTTTTCAAGAGAAGATATACATGCAGCCAACAAGTATATGAAAAAAAATTCAACATCACTGATCAGTGGAGAAATGCAAATCAAAACCACAATGAGATACCATCTCACACCAGTCAGAATGGCTATTACCAAGAAGTCTAAAAATAATAGATACTGGTGAGGTTGCAGAGAAAAGGGAACACTTATACACTGCTGGTAGGAGTGTAAATTAGTTAAACCACTGTGGAAAGCAGTATGGTGATTCCTCAGAGAACTTAAAACAGAACTACCATTCAAACCAACAATCCCTTTATTGGATATATACCCAAAGGAATATAAAACATTCTACCATAAAGACAAATGCATGTGTACATTTAATATAGCACTATTCATGATAGCAAACACATGGAATCAGCCTAAGTGTCCATCAATGGTAGACTGGATAAAGAAAATGTGGTACATATACACCATGAAACACTATGCAGCCATAAAAAAAGAACAAGGTCATGGCTTTTGCAGCAACATGGATGGAGCTGAAGGCCATTATCCTATACAAACTAATGCAGGAACAGAAAATCAAATACCACATGTTCTCACCCATAAGTGGGAGCCAAATGATAAGAACACATGGATACTAGAAGGGGAACAACAGATACTGGGGCCTGCTTGAGGGAGGAGGGTAGGAGGAGGAAGAGGATCAGAAAAAATACCTGTCTGGTACTATGCTTATTAGCTGGGTAACAAAATTATCTGTACACCAAATCTCTGTGACACACAGTTTACCTATATAACAAACGTGCACATGTATCCCTGAACCTAAAATAAAAGTTTTAAAAAAACTCATAAGGTTGCAATCAATTTTGAAACATATTTTCCTGGGTAGCATAAGTGACAGATGAATTTTTCTTTGATTCTAGATGGTCCTAATTGCCTAGCTTGTACTGGCTAAAACCAAAGGACAGAATGGGTCCCCAGAAAGCTATGTTACAGCTGAAGGGCTTCAGGAGAGGAAATACAGTCTGGGATCCAGTAATTAGCCAAATTCATTAACTTGTCTAGTTGCCAAAGTTAGAAGAAATAGATCATGGTTGTTAAGAACATAAGATTTGGAATCAGAGCTAGATTTGAATCTCAGCCCCACGTTTTATTTAGAATATGTGGTTTAACCTCTGTAAGCCAAAATTTCTGCATCTTTAATATGAAGATCATCAAACTGACCTCACAGAAATAATGTCTGTGAAACACATACAGCAGTGAAGACTCCACAACAGTTAATAGTTATTACTATCTAAGCTGTTCTACAAAACATTTCCTAACCACACTCATAATCTAGTCTCCTCCAACTGTCTTCCAGGGTTGTTGTGCTGCAAGATAAGGTTGGGAGCTAAGTTCCTCCTATTACAGGAAAGGGGTCCCAATCCGGACCCCAAGAGAGAGTTCTTGGATCTTGTGCAAGAAAGAATTCAGGACAAGTCCATAAAGTAAAGTGAAAGCAAGTCTATTAAGAAAGTAGAGGAATAAAAGAATGGCTACTCCATAGACAGAGCAGCCCCGAAGGCTGCTGGTAGCCCATTTTTATGGTTATTTCTTGATTATATGCTCAATAAGGGGTAGATTAGTCATGCCTTCTCTTTTTAGACCATATAAGGTAACTTCCTAATGTTGCCATGGCATTTGCAAACTGTCTTGGCACTGGTGGGAGTATTGCAGTGAGGACAACCTGAGGTCGCTCCCGTGCCCATCTTGGTTTTGGTGGGTTTTGCCTGGCTTCTTTACCGCAATCTGTTTTATCAGCAAGGTCTTTATGACCTGTATCTTGTGCCGACCTCCTATCTTATCCTGTGACTTAGAATGCCTTTACCGTCTGGGAATGCAGCCTAATAGGTCTCAGCCTCATTTTACCCAGCTCCTATTCAAGATGGAGTTGCTCTGGTTCACATGCCTCTGACACTCCCATGCAGAGGAGTGGGTCTGATGAAGAAAGTTCCAGGAGATTATCACCTCCACTTCACACTGGGTTCCAACAGGCCAAATCTGTCTCCAGTAGGCCAGGAAGCAAGGACGGGAAGAAACCTAGACTCCCTGTTAAACACACATCATTATTAAACAGGTTGCTCACCTCTTTGCCTCTGCATCCCTCCCTAGAGGGCTCATATCTGCTTTTCTCCTTGCTGACTGACCACCTGCATGTTGGGGATTGCCCTTCCAACGGTGGCCTTAGTCTTTCCAATTGTCTTCCACTCACTGGCCTTGGATGCCTAGCCCACCCTCCTTCTGGATCTGGAGTAGCTGAAAACACCTTTAAACCTTGGAATATATTTCCATTCTCTGATTTCTTGAACTAATTCAGTGCGATCCTCATTGAACACTGAATAAGGCAAAGAAACAAAGGGCTTGAAAAGGCATTTATTTCTTTAGTCTTTATTCAGATTTACAATTAGGTTTCCATAAGTGATGGATGTGCCCTGGTGAATCACCTTTCCTCCATTTTAAAAGAATCTGAATCCATTCAAGGTCCCTTCTTGATTGCAAATTCAACCAGTTAAATTGTTTTTACTCATCACAATCATGCAGTTCTGCTCTTAGAACCTACTTAGCAGGCTGTAAAGAGCACTCAACTCAAGCTTCAGGCTGTTTGTGTGATATTAATCCCCAGACTGGATACAAGGTGACAATGTTTCCTGACATATGTTTTCTATTTTTATACTATTGTTCTATTTTTTTGTTTCAACAACCATTTCTCAATTATATTTTAATAAAGCAATATTAGTATATTTGGATATGAAAGATTCATTGGCATTAATTTTCTAATGTGAAAAAGCGATTTCCATTGTAAATACAGAAGTTAAAATCAGCATTTGGGAATTTGATTACTTCAATCATTATTTTCTTTGCCTTGTCATATTAGATCAAAAAGCTTAAGCTTTTTTAGGCATCATGCACTGAATTAGTAGAGCAACACATTTTAAAAGAATAATAGAAATATTAATTAACATATGAAAATTATTTGTGAACCTTTTGATGAACAGCATAATGAAAAATTAAAAGTGAGTGGTATAGGTAAGATCTGAGGTTAACTTAGGTAACATACACACTGATACTTCTAACAGTCTTAACCATATAGGTGAGATTATGCACCAAGATTTTGAAAACTTGAGAGAGATTTAAAAAGACTGAACTACAACCTAGATTATTGGTATCCCATACGTGGTATCATGCATGTATGAATGAAACAGATTATGCAACACGAGTTGATGCAGACTTCAAATAACTATTTTATAGAGCAGGGCCCCAACCCCCAGGCCATAGTCTGGTACCTGTACTGGTCTGTGGCTTGTTAGGAATGGGGTCACACAGTGGGAGGTGAGCAGCCAGCGAGCATTACCGCCTGAGCTCCACCCACTGTCAGATCCACGGCAGCATTAGATTCTCTTAGGAGCACAAATCTTATTGTGAACTACACGTGCAAGGGATCTTGGATGCGTGCTCCTTATGAGAATCTGTTGATAAATATAATGCCCTTGAATCATCCCCAAACCATCCCCCACCCCTTCCCGCATCCTTGAAAAAAATGTCTTCTAGAAAACCAGTCCCTGCTACCCAAAAGGTTGGGGACTGCTGTTATAGAGAGTAGAAGGAAGGTTATCAGAGGCTGGAAAGGGTCCTGGAGGGGTGGGGAGAGGTGAAGACAGTCAATGGATACAAAAAGTAATTTAAATGAATGAATAAGACCTACTATTTGATAGCACAACAGGGTGACTATAATCATTAATAACTTAATCGTACATTTTAACATAAAGAGTATAATTGAATTGTGTGTAAAACAAAGGATAAATGCTTGAAAAAATGGATATTCCATTCTCCATGATGTGATTATTATGCATTGCATGCCTATATCAAAATATTTCACATATCCCATAAATATGTATGTCTACTATGTACCAACAAAAATTGAAAATTTAACAACAAAAAAAAAAACTACCTTTTTGGAAGCCAGACTAACAGACTAACCTTCTAAAGGTAAGGGCTGGTTTTCTCTATGGAAAAAAAATTCCTACTGTCACTATCCCTGGAAAGAAGCCCTTCACAGGATGGGAAATGAGAACTCAGTGGGGCTCGGATTCAAATAAGGGAACTCTGGTCCCCTTTTCTGCATCTGGGAGTCAGTATGTTTCAGAACACCAAGGTCTGAAGACACCTGGAGCATTACTTGTGGAAGAAGGGGAAGGTAAACGTGGAATGCTGGCTTCCACCACATGGATCCAGGCAGCGGGCTACCGGAGAGGGGGTCTAAACTTGCTTTTCCCTTTTCTTGTCTGTACAACTTGCAGGGTGGTGATGGGAGCAGGGGTGGGGGTAAAGTTACAGGCTGACCTCTACTACCCACCAGAGGATTAAAAAAAGGAGGCTTACCTTACACTTTACAATAATACAGATTGCAAAACAAAACCAAGTCAGCCATTGAAATATTGATGGGATTAGACTGGGGGCATTCTATGAAAAGGGCAGTGTCCTCTCCCCAAGACACACACACAGAGAAAGAGAGAAAGAGAACAAAAGCGATTGTAGCAGCCACGGTCATCCTCAGAGGAGAAGCAGCAGCAATGGGGAAGTAAGACATAGATGCTGAAGCCATGTAACTCTAGTCACCCATTAGTGAACTTATATGAGAGCATATAATTTAACTGCTGTTTCGACTAATTTAACCAGGATGATTCAAATTTAGTCAAGCTCTGATTTAACTTTCTTTTTCTATTAAAACTGACAAATTGTTCACTTGAACTTATTGCATTAACTGGTTGATTTATGTTTCATGTAGATCCAGGCTGCAAAGATCAAGAATTATAAGGGGAGAACCCCCTAAAGTTGTTAATGTTCTTCATGCTTTTCAAGTCCCTCACAGCTAGGGGACATGAGTTTTTCTCCCTGAGCTTTTAACTCTTTCTGCTGCCACACATCTTCTAGCAACGCTTGAGACAAATTTAAAGAAAATCGGTGAAATAACTATTCTTGAATTCCCAAATCAATGGAAAAGAGTTCCGAGCCTATATGGAAGGAAACTGTCCTAGTTTGAATTAACCGAAAGATTAGTGTTTCGCTCAATTTTTTTAATATTTAATACCCCATTTTCCCTCTCAACATAAAATGCATTTGAAGGTACCAAAATAAAGATACTCAATTTTATATGTTCCCACTTTATCATCTCAAAATCCTATTAGAAAAGAATCTGTGCTTCCTATAATTTATAACTAAACATAGATTATTTTCATAAAATAAATTGTATATTTCAGCTTGCTTATGAACGTAATTTAGCTTAGTAAAAGCTTATAACCCACACAAGAGAGATAAAAGGATAGAATTATCTATCTTTCTTGGAATGTACTGCATATATGCTTTATTTTAATTTTTATATCTTCTATCCTCTGAGGCTAAATAAAAATGCATGGGAAAAATTTAATGTAATGTAAACCAAAGATTTTCATGACAGATTTTATTAATTCTCTGCATGTACAAACATGGCTTAGTCCTCAAAACATAATTATTTTAATATATGTCATACAGATTTCAAAATAAAACCAAGTCAGCCATTGAAATATTGAAGGGATTAGAAGGAGCAATTCAATTCTGTATATCAAAAAGTAAATAGGGTCAATCAATTAAATGTTCGGTACAAGTAAAAGAAATGCCAACTAAGGAGTCATTCACCTTTAACTTGTTTCCTTCTTTCAGTTGCTATATTTTGGCTATCTTAGTTGTTTTGTATTTCCTGTCTAGAAGAACAGCCATTAAATGGAGACCAAGTCTTTATGTTTCTTAACTGCATTCTGGCACCCAATAAATAATTCCTTAGGAATAATTTGCCAGTCAGTGGCACCTACAAGCTAGAATTCTTTGTTGTATTGTAAAGCCTGATAGGGAGTTCAAATCATCTTGAATCTTAGTATGATATCTGTGTTCTAATAAAGTTTTGTTTTCTTGAATATTAACCTCAGAAGGTAATTCCTTCTTGCTGTCACAGACAACACTCAGAGTAGACTAAGTCATGTAGTATACAAATTGGGTATAAATGCCTTGACATTTTGGAAAGTGAAGGAGAATTCCTAAGGGATAACTCTTTGTATGTCCTATGCTTATAAGCAGCTTAAATCTCCACAGATAGACTTTGTTTTGGTGTCAATGGCCACCTCAATATCTGCTATATTTGTCACAAAGTTACCCCTTTCCATTTTATGTTTGGAATAACTTGAAATGTTGGTAACAGCTTTTCATCAATCAATAATTTTGAGAGCCTGGTATGTAACGGGCACTATAGTAAAAGACCCTGGCCCTCATGGAGTTCATATTCTATGAATAGGAAGACAGGCAATCAGTAAACAAGTAAACAAATAAACAAGGGAGTTAATTTCAGGAGAGGGCAGTGCTATGCAAGAACAAAAAACAGTTTGGTACAGAGAAGGGCTGGGCTGAGGAGCTAAGACCAGAATGACGAAGAAGCTGGGCCATCAAAGACCAGGAGAACAAGTACCCACGCAGGGGAAGAGATGATGCAAAGGCCTGAAGGTGGAATGTGGTGGTCTGCTCAAGGAAACATGGAAGGAAGGCCAGCGAACGGTTCCTGGAATAAGTGGGGGGAAGCTAGGAAAAGAGATTGGAAAAGTCCACACATTTTAGAATCTTCAATCCACAACTCCACTGATGTCAGAATTCTAACAACATTATTGCACTGGTGTAGCACCATTCACTGAATGAAGTTGGCTACGATTAGGGATTAAGTTAGGTCCCCCCAAAATTCATATGTTGAAACTTTAACCTCCAGTGAGATTATTTGGAGGTAAGACCTTTCAGGAGAGAGCTGAGGTTAAATGAGATCGTATGGGTGGGCCCTAATCCAATAGGACTGGCATCCTTATAAGAAGAGGAAGAGACAACAGAGATCTTTCTCTCTTTGCACGCAGAGAAAAGTCATGTAAGGACATGGGAAAAGTGTCTGTCTATAAGCCAGAAAAAGGCTTCACCAGAGACCAACTGCTGGTACCTTGGTCTTGAACTTCCAGCTTCCAGAACTGTGAGAAAATTTATGTCGTTTAAGCCACTCAGTCTATGGCATTTGTTATGGCAGCCTCAGCAGACTAATACAGTTTCCACATCACAAACAGATTTAGCAAAATAAGGAGATTTTCCCCCACATTTATCCCAAATCATACTTGATTCAAGTTAGTACCAAATGATTTTAGTGGCAGAAGAGGCCTTAGAGACTATCTTCTCAATTTTACTCATTTTTACAAATGAGAAAAGTTTAAAATGAAAAGATTAAAACGGCAGATCAAATTCTCTTCCCACTCTCACCACCCCCACCATAATCCATTCAAGCTGCTGGTTTGTTACCGGCTTTATTCTGACCTCTGACCAGGACAACAAAACAAATAATGAATTCTATGAAAAATTCAATTGTGCAATCACTTCTACAATAAAAATACAACCAACCTAATTTTAAAGGGGTAATAACAGACTAAAAAACATTTGCATTAAATACAACAGATTAAAGTTTCTCTTTAACATATAGAAAATACAAATGTATAAGACAAACAGCAATATTTCAATCATTAAAGGTAAAAAAGATATCACAGATACCTCAAAAAAAAGATATGGGAAAATATTTTTTCAGGATGAATAACTTAAGGCAACTTCAAGAAATAATGTTATGCTGATAACAATTTTAGAACAGGTGTGATTTTGGCAAAAAATGATACTCTGATCTAAAGCTGGTTACATGGACTTAAAGCAATCCCTTTGTGGAAAATAAAATTCTAACACAGCAGAAGTCTTAAAGATAGTTATATTGCCTGAGATAGATTATTATTCCTGAGAGTTTCATGAGAAGCAAAATGATAAAAGCATATATACATCTAGTGAATTATTATTATTATTTTGAGATTGAGTCTCGCTCTGTCACCAGGCTGTGGTGCAGTGGCACGATCTTGGCTCACTGCAACCTCCGCCTCCCGGGTTCAAGCAATTCCCCTGCTTCAGCCTCCTGAGTAGGTGGGACTACAGGCACGCACCACCACGCCCAGCTAATTTTTGTACTTTTAGTAGAGACAGGGTTTCACCGTATTGGCCAGGATGGTCTCTATCTCTTGACCTTGTGATCCACCCATCTCGGCCTTCCAAAGTGCTGAGATTACAGGCGTGAGCCACCGCGCCCAGCCATGAATTATTTTTTTAAATAAAAAAATAGAAACCAGACTATATCTTTATACTATAGAAACAGTTAAGAAAATAATTATTCATCAGAGTGATAAAATATTACATGGTCACAAAATATTACAAAGATTTTTTTAGAAACTTGGAAACAACACAGCATAATAGTTGAAAATACAAGTACTGAAATAAAATGAACCAGGTCCAGAATTGAATTCTGTCTCTGCCACACACAAATATTTAAGTGAACTAAATATTCTCAACTATAAAATGGAAATGGCAAGGTCACAGTGAATATTTGAACATTTTCTGTGTACAAGTAATGTTCTAAATTTATTACAGTCCACCCTCATTATTTGCAGATTTCATATTTGCAATATAAAATAAAATTTCTGTAACCTTTAGTGGAATTACGAGGCTCAGTGTTCTTGTTTCAGCTTTCCTACAGAAGTGAGCAGAGGACAGAGATGCTAACAGTGGTGCAGGGTAGTGCCAGATCCCAGCTCTGGGCCAGTGGGATTGGGTATGAATTTAAACAGTGGCACCTGTTAGTGGAGCAGCCTCATGTAAGTCAAAGCAAGTCACTAAATTCTGAACCTTGTTTTGTTTTTTTGTAAAACAAAGAGAACAGTATCTACTGGAATAAGTTGCTTTTAAGATTTAAGATATGGGCCGGGCGCGGTGGTTCATGGCTGTAATCCCAGCACTTTGGGAGGCCGAGGCAGGCAGATCACTTGAGGTCAGGAGTTTGAGACCAGCCTGGCCAACATGGCAAAACCCCGTCTCTACTAAAAATAAAATTAAAAAAAATTAGCCGGGTATGGTGGCACATGCCTGTAATTCCAGCTACTCGGGAGGCTGAAGTGGGAGAATTGCTTGAACCTAGGAGGTAGAAGTTACAGTGATCCAAGATTGTGTCATTGCACTCCAGCCTGGAGACTGGAGTTGGTGCTCAGAGGGGCTGCCACCTGCCGCTCCTGCTTCTGAGGATGCAAGAGGCTGGTTTGGGGAATGGCAAAAGAAGCTGGAGGCTGGGGTCTTTAACCACAGTTGAAGTTAACTTCCAATGCTGGGGCCACACATCAAAAAGAGGAAAAAATAAGAAATCCTTTTTTTCTTGCTTATTCTATTCCAATTCCAGATTTCTCTCTACTCTTCCTATTGGCAGAACCTGTAAGCAAACTAGCAAAGGAGTCTGGGAGATGTTGTTCGCAGAGTTCCAGCTCCAGAATCATGGGGAAGAGTGAGAAGGGAGGTGTAGAGCTGAAAGAGTTAGAATACACTGAATAGCCTGAGTTCCTCGAAAAGCGGAGCCCCAGACAAAACCTTAGGGACTGCCATTTTGTTAAAGCATTCTGTCTCAAGAAAGCAGGAGTTAGAGAAAAGCAGAATGAGGCAGGAAAAGAAGAAGGGGAAGTAGCAGCATGTTATCAAGCTGCCCAATAGTTGGTATCATGTGCAACTGGTTGCTCTGTCTGCCAGATGCCTATAAACTGTGTCTCAGGAGAAATAAGGGAGTACAGTTTTTTTTGGAGGGGGAAGGGTTGTTTTCTGTTTTGTTTTGTTTTGTTTTGTTTTGTTTTGTTTTGTTTTTTTGAGGCGAGTCTCGCTCTGTCACCCAGGCTGAAGTGCAATGGTGCGATCTCGGCTCAATGCAACCTCTGCCTCCCAGGTTCAAGCGATTCTCCTACCTCAGCCTCCTGAGTAGCTGGGATTGCAGGAGCCTGCCCACCGTGCCCAGCTAATTTTTATATTTTTAGTAGAGATGGGGTTTCATCATGTTGGCCAGGCTGGTCTTGAACACCTGACCTCAGGTAATCCACCCGCATAGGCCTCCCAAAGTGCTGGGATTACAGGTGTGAACCACCGCGCCCGACCAGATTACTAGTTCTTGTCCCCCATTAGCCAAGGTGTAAACTCCTCCCACATCCCACGTTGCCCACGCACTGGGGGCAGAGTGAGTCTTACAGAGTTTCACACCTCAAGGGCTGCAGAGAAAGCTCAAGACAAGGAGGGAAAGGTGGATGATGCAGGCATGACAAGAGGCACCACTGGGTTACACTCAAGTGAAGTCAGTTGCTTCAGACATGCTGGGTAGAGTCATATGAATTTGGCCTTACAGTGGCTGGGATAAAACAAGTGGCCAAAGGCTAAGAAAACAATCAAAACCAAGAGAATCCCCATTGCTGAATAAGAAGTATCCGATATAGTAAGTGACAAGGAGTGTGGGTGAACACAGGTGGGTGCACTGTGACATTTTGGCATATCTAATATCAGATAGGGCAAGGGATTCAAACAATTCACAGTCCAAATGGACAGTTTTGTTTTTTTTTTTCAGGACAAATGCTAAGCTGGATAGGGCTCTGGAACAATTGCTGCAAACCAGGGCTGCCCCAGACAAAGTAAGATGTATGATATCTTGAGTTCCAGCTAGGAGAACTCCAGAAAAAGTAAAACTTCTGTTTAGATGAGGCATGGGAAATGATTTTTTAATGGGTATATCATTTTTCTGTAAAATTTTTAAAATTAATTTTAATATGATGCTTAATTTTTAAAATAATCATTAGATAAAATCACAGAAATGATATGCTGTATGTGTAATATCCTGTATTTATTATTATTCTTGGGCCGTTATATTTTAAACGATGCAGAAATCTCTTCTGCCTGTGGGTTTAATTCAGGGACTAACTCCTCTCTCATCTCCTAGTGAGGAGCCTTCCTCTTAGCTCTTATGGTACCACAGTTCTGTTTCTGAATCAGCCAAAGAGAAAACGAGTATCTCTGTTCAAGGCATTCCTTCTAAAATCATTTTATTTTTTACCTTTGCTAATTACAATTAAGCACAAAGGATCCCAAACAGAGAGCCTCGCAGTAGAAAAGGCATGTATAATATTAAAGAAAAAGTTATTCTGATACTTGTTAAAATGGTAAGGAAGACTTTATCGAAGATGATTGCAATAGGAGAGAGAGATTGGACGAAACACTAAATACAGCAAGGGCAAGTAGGAATTTATAGCCAGGGAACAGAGTGAGGCAGGCCAGTGGATGGAAAATTACTAAGGTAAGACCTGCAGGGAAGGGAAACTTGCTAAACCAACTTACAGGGATCTCGGTGAGGGCACACTGGAGTGATCAGACATCAAGGATGAGAGGATTCTCTCTAAACCGACTCAGCAGGATTTCTGCTAAAACTGGACTTGGCAAAGGTGAACATGGAAAGGTCTAGGCCTAGTCAAGAAGAGGGCTCAGAGGAGCCTAACTGAAGTTTGTTCAAGGAGACAGTCCATGTTTAAAAGGTATTCAATGTAGAAAAGCAACATGGAAACCTTCTCTCCATGTACTTCAGGGTTAGGTCCTAGTATCATACAGACTAAATGGGTGGACCCTATGTTAATACTTTTCTATCTTTTCTAAATGTGTTCTTTTAAAGGCCACAATTTGCCTTACACATTTCATTGGCCGGTGTTTCTGATATAATTTCAGAGAACACAAATTCCGTTTTTAAGAAAAAGAAGGATGGGCAGTGCCTGAGTGCTAATGGATTTCAGTAGGAAGCCTATCACCCAGTATTCTGCCTGATCGGTCCTCAGCTGGACAGCACTCAAAGCCCAGATGCCAAGCTGTGGACAACTGTCTCCAGGCAGCACCATCTGCTTCCATGGGAATCTCCCCAGGCATTTGGTTGGCAGCTTTAGGGTGGCCTTGAGGTCGGTCATGTGGAGAGGATGCTGCTGGGAAGGATGTCTGGCTTTTCTTAACCCTTGGAAGTTCATTTCCTATCATTTACCAGAGTTAGCATTTGATTATATTTCCTTTCTTTGAGAACAATAGAAGTTGAGTTCCCCTTAGCAGAAATTTAGCAGAAAGTAATTGAGCTCAATTATCTGTCCTCACTCTTGGGAGAATTGTGTTTCTTCCTTAGGACAGCCAAACCCAGAGCTTCTCAAAGGGTGTATGGAAGACCTCAAGTTTGCACAAAATGCTCCATGAAAAATAAAAGGGGTTCAAAAGTCAAATACTTTTGAAAAATGCTACACATCACATTATCTTGTCAGAGATGCACCATGCACATTAAGTAGTAAAGACCCTGAGAAGTCCTACTGTTAAAACTATTAACTTTAACATGGTTTAACTTGATATTTCCGAAATTTAGGTGAACACAAAATTTCAATTTAATTCAGCCTCACTGCAACCCATAAATTGTGCAACTTGCTCCCAAAAAGGGATTATCAGAATACAGCAAGGCACAATCAATCATCAAAGGGGCTTGGTAGCCTCAGGGCAGCCAGCATGGGCTACACAAGAGTGGAAAAACGTCTTTTATTTCTGATATATTCTGTGGTAGTCAGAATACCATGTGTATTTTATGAGCCAGGCAGAATTCATTTATTCTCCTTTTCTTTCATTCAACAAATATTGACCATACTCAAACCAGAAAGACACACATTAAAGAAGTATTTATAATGAAAGGCAATGAGCATCATACCAGTCAGGATTTGCTTCTGGGTGCTTGCTTTAAAAGACTGGTTGATTACTGGGGGGTTCACCTAGTCTGGAGAACAGGCAAGTCTCCTCTCAGAAAGCTTCTTCCATTTCAACGGGGCAACAAACAAGTCCATCAGAAGATGGGATGGGACAAGAGAAACCATACTAACAGCAAAGAGTACTAATAGCAAAGACAAGGAACAGATCATGACGGCTTTTTGGACTCAAAACACAAAACTCGTGACAACCCACCACTGCGTTCAAACACGACAAAATTGTGTATAACATTATAATGGATTATCTTAAGAAAAGATATCATTTCAAATAATTCTTATGTCCCCTAAATCACTCAGTCATGCCAGATGCATGGACATATTATGAATTTTCAACCAAGAATAATACTTAATTTCACATAGGTCC
Source organism: Homo sapiens (assembly GCF_000001405.40). NCBI lineage: Eukaryota > Metazoa > Chordata > Mammalia > Primates > Hominidae > Homo > Homo sapiens. The sequence goes on from NC_000013.11 coordinate 75,171,754, forward strand.
TAGTAATAATCCATATTCACACAATAGGCATTCAGGAACTATTTAGTGGGTGAATAAAAGAACATTATATTTTCACACATCAAAGATCATTCACAGCTTCACAGTTTTAAGGTTTAGAAGAGACATCCACCAGATTCTAAAAATGGATAAAGTAAAGGAACTATTTGTTGAGCCTCATACATGCCAAGCAATTTGCTAAGATCTAAGCATTCACTTAATTTGTGCACTCCTTGAGGGCAGTGGCAAAGTTTTATTCAAATTGCTTCTATAACCCTAGTATCTGGCACCATGCTGATAGCTAGTTAGAGCAGGATAAATATTTGTCGAATGGAGGAAAAAGAGAATAAATGATTTCCTCCCACCTTATTATTTAACCCTCAAGATAAACCCATGAGGATGACCTAAACACCCTAACATTTTCAAGAAAACATCACCTTGAACTATTCCTAAGATTGCCCAGTCTTCGAGAGACTGCTGCTCTATGATCAATTAAGTGCTCCTTAACATCTTATAAATCACCTCTCTTGCTTATTTTACATCTCCATTCTGTATGAATGGAGTATTTATTAAACACATCTATATCACCTTGTCAATTGTAGTTTCAAATTTCTAGGTAACTAATTGAATTCTTGGGAAAGATACGTAGAATTCTAAGTTAAGTGCATGCAACATCCTGAATTCTAAAGTTCATCACCCAAAGATGAACTCTTACTGCAGACCTTAGCTAACTGCTCATCTTTCTTACCTTGAACTTGGCTGGTTCAAGGAGTTGCTTTTGGATTCAAACAGCTCAATGCTCAGATTAGTGTCTCTTCCTCTACAGCTGGCTATGCCTGCCCCCTGCCCCTCCCCTGCCTGAACTGTACTTATATGTATAAGTACACACATGCACACAAGCACACACACACACATACTAATTATCAGTTACTTTATTTCATGCAAGTCACTTAGATACTTTTACTGTAAGTCACAAAAATCCACCATGAGGAATCAAAATACATAAATGACTAAAAGGAATCATAAAGCACAAAAAATAAAAGCAATCCAGCAAATGAGTAATGTAAGTGGACTGCCATACTTCCAGCTAATTCTCCTGGTTTTCCTTTATAGGCCTCTTGACCTTATTTATATACCAGTGTATTGCCTTCATATTACATCCTTAATGAGGTTACTTATCCTGCATATCCAATGACACGGTCCCCTAAATAACACGGTCCCCTAAATAACACATCCTCTGTTCTAGAGATGCCTGAGAGGGCAACCACTTCAGCCACTAAAAATTTACACTTTTAGCTAAGAAAGTGGGGCTTTTATTTTTAAAAATGAAGTTAGCATCTCAAACTCCAGAGTTTTTTGAATGCCACAATTAGAGATGGATTATTTAGTAGATATGTTAAAATTCTTACAAATAATATGCATCAGTTATGTTGCATACTTAATAAATGATACATGGATTTCCTTTCTTGAAAATCTGTGTCTAAGCAACGATGTATGCGGAAAAGAGATGAAATAAATATACCTGTGTATACATCAACTACTCTGAAAAAGAGAGTCAAATTGCCTGGTTCAAGTAAAATCTCTCATTTTCTCTGTTTTGTGTGAAAGAGAAATTTTTAATGAGTACTGAAATGTCTCAAAGTCAGGCAGCAAAATAGCTGGAAAAAAAAATCAAAGAATCAGAATAATTTTCATCAAGATGATTTACTCCCTGAAAAACTGACATTCAGTATAGAAGGCAGGCTTTGAAAAGACTGGTTGGTTTTTTGTTGTTGTTTTTCCACTACTCTTTACATGATTGCTCAAGGTGAGGAAGATTAGACCTTTCCTCACTGTCTTTTATAGGGAGTGCAAATGAACAGGGGAGTAGGAGACTCCCTGACTCCCCCTTCGGGGCAGGCAGTAATTCCCCTCTTTGAACAAGATTGAGTTCTGTGAAATCTACACTTGAAGAAGGACAAGGCAAAGATACAGGATGTTTGCTGCAAATTCAGTATTCTCTGCCTTTCGTTAAACAGTGCTGGTGGGGTAGAGGCTGCAGTTATCTGCAGCCACCTCCCGTGGAGTGATTGATGTCACCACAGTGAGTGTGCCCGGTGGGCAGGAAGACAGGCACTCGCTGGGGAGGGGCCTAAAGCTGTATACCCCACGGCACAGAGCAGGATGGATTCATGGGTAGAAAACATTGACGGCTATGGAAAACAGACTGGTTGTTGAGGCAAATCAATAGTGATTTTAAGAAAATTAAACCCTGGCTGAAAAGGGGTGAATAGCTTGTAAAGTTCTCAGGCTCTAAGTGGCAATAAAGTTGCTAACCTGCTGAAGGACCTCTTGGGAGTTTTCCAACCCTGAGCTCTCCGATTCTGTGTGGCCATTCCCCAACTGTCAGTCTTCCCTGTATAAACAATTGCTTAAAGAAGGAGACTAAATGGGACGGACCAGGCTATCTTTGATTGCATCTGTTGACTCTGAAAGGATTACTCAATAAAAGCCCTGGGTCATCAGGGCCCTGATACAGCCTCACACAAAGCAACTCAGAGAACTTTTCATGAAGCAAGAATGACATGAATATTATGCAGTCATCATTGAGGATGTCTTCCCCCTCATTTGTGGTCATCCACTCACCTAACATATCTCCTTTGGCCCCAAAAGGCCTATTTGTAAAACATACCTGGGATAAGTGAATAAAAAACAAATTCTGAAGAATATTCAACACTTAATTACCTCCCCAATTGACATATAAAAGTCATTTAATAACATATTAACTTGGTTAACATGATATTTAAGCCCACATTCACAAATTAAAGGCTTTGTTTTCATTTGAGCATGGAAGATTACAAGGGGTCTAAATGTCGTTTGGTTAGAAAATCTCTCTCATTTTCCATCTCACTCTACAGAGTGAGGAAATGATGTAACTCCCAAAGGCATGGGATAAAAAACATTCCCGTCATAGTCCTGAGCACTCACAGAGACCCTCAGAATGTCTGAGTTTGTTTGTTTTCATGTTCACAACTATGCTAGCTTCATTTGTGGGGGGCTCAGATCACTGGCGGCAAGGATGCCAATGAGATCTTATGTTTGTTTGGCTTTTTACATCTTTCAAAACATGTCCTTTCATATTATTCAACTGATGAACACAGCAATCTGTCAAGTAGGCAAGGCAGGTATTTTTGGTCACATTATTTAGATATTTGTTTATGGATGTTGACTCTTTATCCCTTAACAGATACACAATGCTATTTTTTTAATATACTTTAAGTTCTGGGTTACATGAGCAGAACGTGCAGTTTTGTTACATAGGTATACATGTGCCATGGTGGTTTGCTGCAGCCATCAACCTGTCATCTACATTAGGTATTTCTCCCAATGCTATAACTCCCCTAGCCCCCAACTCCCCAACAGGCCCTGGTGTGTCATGTTCCTCTCCCTGTGTCCGTGTGTTCTCATTGTTCAGCTCCCGCTTATGAGTGAGAACATGTGATGTTTGGTTTTCTGTTCTTGTGTTAGTTTGCTGAGAATGATCATTTCCAGCTTCATCCATGTCCCTACAAAGGACATGAACTCATCCTTTTTTATGGCTGCATAGTATTCCATAGTGTATATGTGCCACATTTTCTTTATCCAGTCTATCACTGATGGGCATTTGGGTTGGTTTCAAGTCTTTGCTATTGTGAATAGTGCCATAATAAACATACATGTGCATGTGTCTTTATAGTAAAATGATTTATAATCCCTTGGGTATATACCCAGTAATGGGATTGCTGGGTCAAATATTTCTAGTTCTAGATCCTTGAGGAATTGCCACACTGTCTTCCACAATGGCTGAACTAATTTACACTCCCATCAACAGTGTAAAAGTGTTCCTATTTCTCCACATCCTCTCCAGCATCTGTTGCTTCCTGACTTTTTAATGATCACCATTCTAATGCTAAGTGATTTGCTCAAGGTACCACAGCTAGAAGACGGCAGAATATCTACAAGAACTCAGACTCTGATACTTATCCTGGTGTGGCTTCTGCTACAGTCTTGCTTCCTACAATGCATTGCAAGAGGAGGCATGAATCATTCTCAGGATATGAAGAGATTAAACCTTGAAATCACCCCGAGAGAGAGAGGCAGATAGATTCAATTCCTCCTCTTGCCTGAGATAGTTCAGTGACCATAACACAAGTATTCTTTTTCAAAAACTTTGATTCAAGTTAAAACTAAGCACTCATCATGTAGTAAGCTGGATAATGACTGGTCTCCCAAATATATGCATATTCAAATCCCTGGAACCTGTGAATGTTACCTTACATGATGAAAGGGACTTTGCAGGTGTGATTGAGTTAAGGCTCTTGAGATGAGGAGGTTATCGTATATTATCTAAGTGGACCCAATGTAAACACAAGGGTCCTTATAAGAGAGAGACTCAGAGGACAGGGAAAGTAGACAAGGCAACATGACCACAGAAGCAGAAACTGCAAAGGAGATGCAGTGACAGAAGCAGAAGTCAGAGAGAGAGCGAAATTGGAAAATGCTACCCTGCTGGCTTTGAAGATGGAGGATGGGCTCCATGAGAGAAGGAATTCAGGCAATCTCAAAAGGCGGAAAAGGGCAAGAAAATGGATTCTCTTCTAGAGCCTTCAGAATAAATGTAGCCCTACCAACATCTTGATTTTTGTTTAGTAAGACTTAGGTCAAGCTTCTGACCTGTAAAACTGTAAGATAATAAATTTGTGTTTTAAGCCACTAGGCCAAGCCACTAAGTTTGTGCTAATTCGTTACAGCAGGAATAGGACACTAATACACATCACATGCCAGCTTTCCCTCTCAATAGCTGCAAAATGTGTTTCCATAAAATGGAACCCATAGCTGGCCATCTTGACCCATTGACATTTAAAAACAAACACCAAGGGCAATAATTTTGGCTTTTAGAGAAAAATAACAGCAATATTTGAATGCTTAGCATGTTCCATATAATGTTCTACATCTTGCACGTGTGTTGTATGTGAGATCTCATTTAATCCTCACCATAAGACGAATTACTTAACCTTTCTGTGCCTCATTTTTCCCAACTGTAACATGGGTATAATGAAAGCGCATATTTTATACACCTGTTGTGGTAGACAGCCTCCAAGGTGGCCCCCAGTGACCACTATATCCTGCTGTTCATGCTCTTGCACAGTACCTCTCACATAGAATAGACTGACTTACGTAACCAATAGATTGCAAAAGTGACAGAGTACGACTTCTAAAGCTAGGTCAAAAAAGTATCGTATCTTCCATTTTCCTTTCTTAGATCATCCACTCTCTGGAGGAAGTCAGCTGCCAGTAGCCCTAAGGAGAGGTTCACATAGTAAGAACTGAGACCTCTTGTCAACAACCAGCGCTAAGTTTTCGGCCATGTATGTGACTGTGTGAGTCACCTTGGAAGCAGATCCTCCAGCCCTGGTCAGGCCTTCAGATGACTACAGTCATAACCAACATCTTCACTTCAACCTCATGAGGGACCAGGAAATCAGAATTACCTATCTAGGTGCTCCCAATTTTCTGACCCTCAGAAACTGTGTGTAAGATAATCTCTCTTGATTCTTTAAGCCACTAAATTGTGGGATTATTTGTTACACAGCAATAGGTAACTGATACTAATACTTACAAGGATAAAAATGGCTAATATTTTAACTAATGTAGAGAGTGCTTAGACTAATGCATGGCATATAATAGATATTACTTAAGTGCTTATAAAATTAATTTCCTTATAAAAGGTATGAATAACATACAATGAGCTGGATCTTGATAAGGAATTGAGATTACTGAGATGACAAACATGTGATCCCTGCCCTTTAGTAGCCTCACATTGAGGGGGAAGAGGGTAGAAATAAACATATATTTAGTTGATGTGTTTTGCACAACACATATATAGAAGATTTAATTAGGCATTAAAATGCATATATTTCAGTACACTTATACCAACATAAAATGTTTCAATGATTAGAATGATTGTGCAAAGTGGTTTAATTTTTCTGTAATTATTTTTCTCCTGCTTCTATTTACTTGCTCCCTTAAACTATGCACCCAACAAATTAAGAAAGGGTGGCATTTCCATGTAGTCATAACTTGAAATGCATGTTTTCAAGAAGCTTTGAATATTAAACTTGCCAATATTAATTTATACTATTAATTTTTGGATTCTCTATCTCTAGCCCATGTGTTGAAGCTTTTAAGAAAACATCCTAAATCATTGAAAAGGTAAAATAAAAAATCTCTTTAAAGGAACTTAAATTTGTTCTTTATTTTCTTCTTATCATATGAGCCATTAGAAAGCAAATCCGCTGTACCAGTCTTTATCAAAGTAATGTTAGAAAACATGGACAATCTATTTTTCTGAGAAACATGAATCAAAAATTATCTGAATGAGTCTAAATGAGATGGAAACACCACGTTCATATATCTCTGCTCTTTTTTTGCCAAGATATCCAGCAATTTAGAACACTGATCGGTACAGTAATGGTTCAGGGGACTACTTTTTTAGCTTCTGCCACTGAGGTTCTCATTAATTTGTTGCAAATTCTGCAGTTGATACAGCCAAAATCAAAATATCCCTTTAGCTACTAAAAAATATAAATTGAACATTTATTTTAGCATGTAGAAATGTCCTGAGAAAAAGAAAGGAGAAAAAGCAGACCTGTGCCTCTACAAGGACAATCTCCCGGTTTCATGGAACACTGAGGATGTCGGAGCTGTCAGCTCTTATAATACCTGCCTGCAGTTAATTTGATTTCTCCATTCAAGTTAAAATGAATTGCATAACTGAGCAGCCAAACACTTTCCATCTTATTAAACCAATGAGTAAGTTATACACTATGCCCTTCCAGTCATCCTGTCTGAGCTCTTCACTCACGGCCCAAAGGTTTTAATTGCATAACCAGCTGTTATTCTCACTTGAGGCCCTGTGTGGAGTAATTAGGGAGAAGACACCAAGTCAACCTAAGAGAACTCTGGTAAGATTACATTCTGCCCACAAATGTGCAAATAACCAGCTGTGTGTGTACACAGAGAATGACAGAGATATGGCTTTAGCCTCCAAAATCACCCAGATACTTTCAATGCTGTACATTTGGGAGTGGGAAGAATTCCTGGACAGAAAATGTTAATCCACTCGAATGGGAACTCCAAAAGACGGCATGATATAAGCACCAGAATAAACACAAGGACAGTATAGAATCATGAACAGCAGGAAGGTGACTCTGGTTGGAAGGATCAGGAGCTGAATCTATAGAAAGTGGTTCCAGCAGGATTGCGATGGGCTTATATGCAAAGCTAAGGGGACTGGATCTCAACTTGGATGTAATGACAAGGCATGAGTGTCTAAGTGTGTGTGTGCATGTGTGTGTGTGGGTGGGGGGGGCGGCGGGCAGATCAGATTTGTTTCCTGGGAAGATAATATCAGCAGTGGACATACTAAGAGAGGAGAGAGAGATTGGAATGTACTATGAAAAGTAATGAAGTCTTGAACTAAAGGAATAACTGCAAATGTTATTTAAGTAAATAGAAATAAGTTTCACTTAAACTCATGTTGGAATAATAAAAATAAGATACATCTCACTAAACTAAATAGACTGGAGCAATTAGGAAGGAAGGAAAGGAGAAAGGAAGAAAGGAGGGAATATTAATGAAGGAAAAAGAAGAGAATAGAGAGAGACATTTCTAAAATTCAAATTCAAACATATGTGGTCACAAGTTTTTGTAGGAATGAGTTATTAGATAGAATAAAAAGTAATGTGTTGATAACAGTTTGAAACTCAGTCTGAGAGAATGGTGAAGGTGTCTTAAGGAGATGTAGCTGGAAATATGGGTACAGGGCTTAGGAGAGGTCAAGGTCGAAAATAAAAGATTTAGTAGTCATCAGAATATAGAAAACACATTTTTAAGCACTCGTTCCCTTCCAAAAACCCTGCTATGTATATATGATCTCTTTTAATAAAAAAAAAACCTCATTAATAAAAAATTACCTGTTACAAATGAAGAACTCAGGTTCAAGAGGATAAGTAACCTGCTCAAAATCTTAACATTAGCAAGTGATTATCATGGGATCCCAAGTTAGTAGATATTCAGTTAATTTCTGCTCAATCCATCTAAGTATGTTAGGAGACCACTTATTCTTTCACCTTCAGGATGAATATTTGTTGATTAAAGCCCGCAAATGTCATTAAAAATGGATGAATACAAGCCTTAATTAAATATTTCATTTTAACTTGGAATATATACATACATACCAATCTTCAGATGTTGGGCAAAGACATGAGTATAGGTCCACTGATGGAGACACGTACCTCCATAAATCACCCACATAAATCATATCCATTATCCATTGTCTATGATTTCTAGTTTGCATTTCTTAGAAAGGAAAGAGAATCTATTCTATAAGGCAATATGAGCGTAGATAGATTTCCCAATATCTTTCTGTTGCATTGCCCATATCTAATTTGACAGCAAGTTTTAGGAACTCTTTTTTGTTTTGTTTTGTTTTGTTTTGTGATGGAGTTTCACTCTTGTTGCCCAGACTGGAGTGCAGTGGCACAATCTTGGCTCACTGCAACCTCTGCCTCCCGGGTTCAAGCGATTGTCCTGCCTCAGCCTTCTAAGTAGCTGGGATTACAGGCATCTGTCGCCATGCCTAGCTAATTTTTTTGTATTTTTAGTAGACACGGGGTTTCACCATGTTGGCCAGGCTGGTCTCAAACTCCTGACCTCAGGTGATCCACCCACCTCGGCCTCCCAAAGTGCTGGGATTATAGGCGTGAGCCACCGCTCCCGGCCAGGAACTCATTCTTATCAAGTTTTTCCAAAACATTGAACTTAATTTTCATAAGAAACATGGCTTTTTCCTTTCACACTCAAAGTTGAACAATATATTCCATATCTAAATAAATTATGCCACTGTCAAAATCACCCTTGGAATTAACTGGTTTGGAAATAAACACAAGTCTCTTGGTAATAAAACTCTACTATTAGAAGCAGAAATGTGCTAATATACATAAAAATAGTTGCCTGAAGTGTACAAGGAATGCTCACCTGGGCATGATTCTTTATGCACCAAAAGAGAATGAGAGCATCAGTTAACCTAGTGAGACAGTTAAGCGAAGATACATTAAGAGAGCTCCAACTGTAGTCTTATGTCATGGGAATTAATATTTGGAATGACAATCCTAAATTATAAACATTTTTGAGCACATGAGTCATTGTGTATAAAAAAGGGCAAGTCCTGGTTCCTGCTCCTTAAGGAGTTTAAAATATAACCACTTAATTTACAGAAACTTAATCATAGCAGAAATATGCAAAATGCTGTTTGTTGAGTACTTGTGAATACTCCTCATACTATTCTAAATGCTGTACATATATTATTTCATAAAACCCTTGTCATAGATACCATTGTGATAGATACTATTAAGTAATAGATACTATTGTGATAGATGCTATTAAGACCTTCATTTGTCATTCAAGGAAGATGCAGCATACAGAGGTTGAGTAATTTGCAGAAGATGACACATTTGGTAAATGATGAACAAATTTCAAACCTAGGCTGTCTCTCTCCATAGCCTGCAATATTAACAATTACCACATATCTACAACTTACCATGTGTCAAAAAGTGGACTGTGCCATTTATCTATTTTATCTAATTTTGATCCTCTGATTACTCTTCAAAACATATACATTAATAGTCCCATTTTACAGCATATCCCTTGCAACAAAGATATGAAGCAGCAGAGATAGAATTCAAACACAGATAACTTAAAGTTTCATATTCTTAATGCTTCATGGTCTCCCATTATTATTTACAGAGAACCATGTACTCTTCTGTAAGGAAAGAGCCCTGAGGATCACAGAGGAAAATAAATTGTATATATTTAACTCAAAGAACCAGTTGAGATGTGTCATAGAATCATGGTATGCCATAACACTCAGATTAATTTCCCTTGTTCCAAATAATAGAACATAGTTTCTCCCCCCTCAAAAAAAGAATTCAGATAATTCTTCTGATGAGCCTATTATAGAAAAAATTAAAAATTTAGAAAAATGAAACGAAGAAAATAAAAACATCCATAATTCTATCATCAGATATAATCTCTGCTAATATTTTTATATTATCTTCCAGATTTTTGTGTGTGTTTGTGTGCATATAGAAATTTCTCCTACAGATAATTTCTTAATGTGAATTGGCAATAAAGTAATTGAATAATTAGGGAACTTGATTACAATATGTGGAGGAGTGTGTTTGTGACTTTCTGCTTAGTTTAGCATCCTTACGGGTGATTAATGTGATGAGAATGTGAAAGAAATTCTTACAAAGATGGGAAATGTTTCTTGGCTTTCTTCCTATCTCTTTCTGGCTGCTGCTACTTATTTTCTTTGGCACATTCCTCCTCTCTGACAACCAAATGTTGGTTTGCCTCAGGGCTCTGAACTGAGAACTCTACTCTTCTTACTCTATATTTTCTCCAAGGTGATCTTATCCGTTCCCACAGTTTTCCTATTACCTATGATCTGATATTCTCTGCATTTGTATTTCTAGTCCATTCTTCTCTTCTGAGCTTGAGGGCTGATATTTATAAGCATCTACTTGGCATCTCTATTTTAATATGTAAAATTTATCTCAAAATCAACCATTGATATACCTCTCACCCCACTCCTTCTCCTGTCTGTCCTCACCCACAGGTTCATTAAGCCAGAGCTTTGAGAGGCATGTGTGATATGTCTCTTTCACTTACATTTCATGGTCAATCCACCCCAAAATCTACAGGTAATACCTCCAAAATCTGTCACTAATCGTTTTACTTCTCTCCAGCTCTACCTTTGTTCAGTAGCCATTGTGTCTCACTCTAGTAGACAATAGTTTTATGTCTCAGTATTTCCACTCATAAGCTCTGACGTCTCTTTTCCACATTGAAACTGAAATGATCATTCTAAAATTTAAAATGGATCAAGTTATTCCATTGCTTAAAACTTTACATGGTTTCCCATTGCACCTAGAATGAAATCCAAACTCCTTAACATGATCTGCATTGTTTTTGCATGACCTGACCCTTCCTACTTTGCCAACCTCATCTCACTCCATACGCATTAGTTCATTGTTTTTCAGATGCCTTCTTCCAGCTCCTCAGGTACACTAGTCCTTCTTTTAGGTCATGAGCAAAAGCAACTTGGCGTTATCAAAGTTGAACAGTGACCTGCAGTCTGGACAAGAAGGCACAGACCCTTCTCTCCCTGTTTCTTCCCACTAGGTAATATAAACTCTGGACATAATGCAAAAGCAACCAAAGGAGAACTCTGAAAGGTAGTAAGAAGAAGGCAAACTTGTTTGGAATCCCAAGACTATGAAACTGCACCTATAAACTTTATAAAATTAATCAGGGAAGAAGGAAGGGAGTATTGCGGGAAATCAGGGACCCCGAACAGAGGGACCGGCTGGAGCCGCAGCAGAGGAACATAAATTGTGAAGATTTCATGGATATTTATCAGTTCCCCAAAATTAATGCTTTCATAATTTCTTATGCCTGTCTTTACTGCAATCTCTGAACATAAATTGTGAAGATTTCATGGACACTTATCAGTTCCCAAATAATACTCTTATAATTTCTTATGCCTGTCTTTATTTTAATCTCTTAATCCTGTTATCTTCGTAAGCTGAGAATGTACGTCACTCAGGACGACTATTGTACAAATTGATTGTAAAACATGTGTGTTTGAACAATATGAAGTCAGTGCACCTTGAAAAAGAACAAAATAACAGCGATTTTCAGTGAACAAGGGAACACAACCACAAGGTCTGACTGCCTGCGGGGTCGGGCAGAATAGACCCATATTTTTCTTCTTGCAGAGAGCCTATAAACAGACGTGCAAGTAGGAGAGATATCGCTGAATTCTTTTCCCAGCAAGGAATATTAATAATTAATACCCTGGGGAAGGAATTAATGCATTCCTGTGGGGAGGTCTATAAACGGCCACTCTGGGACTGTCTGTCTTATGCGGTTGACATAAGGACTGAAATATGCCCTGGTCTCCTGCAGTACCTCAGGCTCACTAGGGTGGGGAAAAACCCCACCCGGGTGAAATTGAGGTCAGACCGGTTCTCTGCTCTTGAACCCTGTTTTCTGTTGTTTAAGATGTTTATCCAGACAATACGTGCAGAGCTGAACATAGACCCTCATCAGTAATTCTAATTTTGCCCTTACCTTGTAATCCTTGCTTTGCCCTTTGCTTTGTGATCTTTATTGGCCTCAGAAGCATGTGATCTTTGTGACCTACTCCTTGTTCATACACCCCCTCCCCTTTTAAAGTCCTTAATAAAAACCCGCTGGTTTTGCAGCTCGGGGGAAATCATGGTCCTACCAATATGTGATGTCACCCCTGGAGGCCCAGCTGTAAAATTCCTCTCTTTGTACTTTTTCTCTTTATTTCTCAGACCGGCCAACACTTAGGGAAAATAGAAAGAACCTACATTGAAATATTGGGGGCAGGTTCCCCCAATAAGGGAGAAAAACAAAAATAAGCCCAGCCTACATCACACTCAGTACTAATCAGTAGGTCAGCTCACTCTCTGACCTGCTTTCTTGTAGTTGTTTGCCTGTTGCCTTAGAATCACATAGACCCTACATTATGGTTCCCTTAACTGCTCTACAGATAACAACTTCGGCATTATGAAATGTTAAGTTTTCCACTGGAGACATTCTTTCAGGTCCTGTGTACCAGCAAAACTACTGACATCCACTGGTCAGAAGGACGTCGTGAGAAACTGACTAACCAATAAATGCAGTTGCCACATCCTGATGATTTCATTCCCCTTACTCTGACCAATCAATGACTCCAGTTTTCCAGCCCCTCGCTCTCCATGATTCTCTTAAAAACTCCAGCCCAGAACTCCTCATGGAGATGGATTTGAGGGTATCCTCCCATCTCCTCATTCAGTGCTCTGCAATCATTAAACTTTCTCTGCTACAAACCCTGCTGTGTCAGTGTATTGATCTCTTACTGTGCAGCAGGAATATGAAACTGTTGGTCCAATAACAACTGGGAGATCGACATTGTAGCAGGGTGTTGCATGCCTACCCTCCTCCCCAACAGAACTTGAAAGTCACCAAGACCTAGCATTTTCAGAACCCCAACCAACAACTAAACTAGCCTGGGTAGGCTCCTTCCATCCCCTGACTGAATGGGAGCCTTTCCAACATTAGGCAAACCCAGAAGAACAGGCAAGGTGGGATCCACCAGGAGCCTCACTAACAAGCAGCCCAGGAGAGAATCCACTCTTTTTTCACTGGGCCTCAGGCTCTTCTCCCTCACTGAGAGATACCAGAGATAGTCAGGCAGTCTGGAAGAGGGACACAGGTATAGCAAGAGGTGCAGTGCAGGAAGCCCCTGGGACCCCCACAGGCATAAGACTACCCTCCCCATCTAAGAGACACCTGGAAGCCCAGCCTGGGGAAACTTCTTCTATCCTCTCATCCAGCACCAGCAAGTACTAGTGGGAGCCCCAGCAGCGAAAGAAAAATCAAGCCAACCAAAATAGCACTGCAAGCCTGTAAAAATTAAGCTGTCATTTTATTAACAACCTCAAAAAGTAGGCTAGGATCTGAATGCTAAACAGACTGACAGCTTGCTAAAATAAAAGATTTAATGAGGATCCAGAGACTCGTAATATAAGAGACAAAATTTCTAGGAAGCAATTGCATTCTTTGGCTTGTAGCCCCTTCCTCCATTTTCAAAGCCAGCTGCGTATCTCCAGATCTCTTCTGTGACTTTCCCACTTCTGCTTCCATCATCATATCACTTCTATGTATCTCTGCTTCCCTCTTGTAAAAATCCTGTGATTACATTGGACCACCCAGAGCAACCAGGATAATCATCCTTCCTCAAGATTCTTATCTAATTACATTCACAAAGTCCCTTTTGCCACATAAAGTATTCATAGTTTTGAAGACTAGGAAGCAGACATCTTCCAGGAAAGGGAACATTCTGCTTTCCATATCAATAGATTGTGATCAGCCACATTTGCAAATCATAATACCCAAAGCAACCACTGTGAAAACTATACAAAGACTTATATTCAAAAACACTGCAAATAAATCAAGATGATATCCTAAAAAAAATTATCCAAGTAACCCACAAGAAAGCAAAAAAGAGAAACAGAGGAAGAAGAACAAGAGGGAAAAGCAAAAACTGATAAGGCTGAATGGAGAAACAGACAAATCCACAATTGTCGCTGGGGATCTCAACACCCTCCTCTCAAAAATGATAGAATTACCAGACAGAAACTCAGCGAGGATATAGGAGATCCAAATAACAAAATCAACCAACAGAATCTTATGAACATATATAGAACCATTCACCCCAATGACAGCAGAATACATATTTTTTTCAAGCACCCATGGAAGAATCACCAACTTAGACAATATTGAAGCCATCCTCACAGGGTTAAATAGCTACAGAAATATAGCTCTAATTAAGCATTAATCAGGCTGTATGTTGACCCGTTATCAGCAGTGAATCCATACAGGTCTGCAGCAAATAGATTCTTGCCTCCTTGAAGGAAAGAATTTGGCAGAGGAGCAGAAGTAGTTTTAAGGCAGAGGGTAGCCAAGGCAAGTTTTAGAGCAGGAGTGAAAGTTTAATAAAAAGTTTTAGAGCAAAAACAAACGGAAGTAAAGTACTCTTGGAAGAGGGCCAAGTGGGCGACATGAGAGATCCAAGTGCTTCATCTGACCCTTGACTTAGGGTTTTATACTGTGGCATGGTTCCAAGGTTTACATTTCTTTTCCCCTGATTCTTCTCTTGAAGCAGGCTGTCCACATGCACAGTAGCCTGCCAGCACTTGGGAGGAGCCACATGCACAATATGTTTACTGGAGCTGTGTGCATGCTTACTTGAGGCATTTTTCCCTTACCAGTTAAGTGTTCTAGAGGAAGGTTATATACTAGTTGAACTCTGTCATTTTATCTCTTAGTGCATATGCTTGAGCCCACTCACCCAGCTCCTGGGATTTTGTCAGGAAGCGCTGATCACCAGCTTCAGGTGTTTTCTATTTATTGGGAACCTGCCTTTCCCTGGTGCTGGCTGCTACCAATTATTATTTTAGAGAGACAGTTTAACATCCACCTGACCATTACCTGATGGTCACCTGACATTCGCAAGGTTGGGATGTCTCTCCTGCCCTGCTCATGTCTGCCTAGGTGCCTACTATAACAGACCTATTTCCTCGTAACTGAAAGTCAAATAACACTAGATATGGACCATTTGCATCCCCACTGTTCCTATATATAGGATTCTGACATTGGAATCATAAGGCTTTAGTTTAAGAATTGCCTAAGCAGATCTTGAATTTCAGCAGAACAGCTGACATTAACCAGTTTAAAGACGCCCCCACAGAGGAACCAAATCAGCCTAAGAATACAGTTTCTTCATCTCCCTGTCCCATGACTTCATCCTTTGACCAATCAACAATTTTCACACTTTGGCCCACTCCAAAACCCTTAAAAATCCTAGCCCCAAACTCCCTGAACTTGAGGTTTCCTCCTATCTCCTCATTCAATGGCCCTACAATCAAACTACTTTCTCTGTTGCAACCTGGTGTCTTGGCATATTGACTTGCCTATTGTAAGTAACCTATTACAGTTACAATATCTTGCTTCATAAAACAAACCCGACCCAAAAAAGGAATTGAAATTATACAGAGTATGTTCCCTGATTATCATGAAATAAATAACACAGACAACAGCAGAATCACCAAATATGTAAAAATTAAATAACACATTTCTAAATAAATTAATCTAAGTTCTTTCCTAAAAGAAACAAAATGAACCCAAAACAAGTGGAAGAAGGGAAATAAAGAAATGTCAGAAATCAATAAAATTGAAAATGGAAAGACAATAAAGGAAACCAATTAAACAAAAAGTAGTTCTTAAAATGTCAATAAAGTTAATAAAATCATAGTAATATTGACAGAAATAAAATATATGTAATTATGTCCATCACTCAAAAACAAGACAAAACTTAAGAAAATGAAAGAGATAAGAAAAATCATTAATATCAAGAATGAAATATAAGATATTACATATTTTGCCATCATTAAAAAGATAATTAGGGAATATCTCAATTTTATGCTCATAAATTTAATATCTTAGAAGAAATGGGCCAATTAATTGAAAAACACAAACTGCTAAAACTCAATCAAGATAAAATACTTACCAAAAACAAAGACAGTGAAAAAGGAGAAAACTACAAACCAACAGCTTTTATAAATATCAATACAAAAATCCTCAAAAAATAATAGAATCTTGAATCCAAGAATTCATAAAAAAATTTATACTTGTGACCAACAGAGGTTGATTCTGGGTAAGCAAGGCTTGTCCAACATTTGAAAATCAGTCAGTGTAATCCATATATGTCAACCATCTAAAAAAACTCATATAGTCATATCAATTGTTGCAGGAAAAGCATTTGACAAAAATCTAACACCAATTCATGACAAAACTTTCAGCAAGTTAGAAGTACAAAACATATTTCAACTTCATAAAATCCATCTACAAAACTTAAAGGTAACATCACTTAATGGTAAAAAAAAAAAAAAAAAAAAAAAAAAAAAAGAATGCTTTCTTAATAAAATCGGGAACAAGGCAAGGGCGTCCACTTTTACCACTCTTACTCAACGTAGTACTGAAAGCTCTAGCCATTGCCACAAGGCAAGACAAAGAAATGTTTATTCTAAAATGTATGTGAAAAGGCACAGGCCCTAAAAGCACTAAAACAATCAATAATTTGATAAAGAAGAATGAAGCAGGAGGAATTACTCTATCCAATTGTAGTAGGCTAAATATTAGCCCTCCAAAATATATGTCCCCATTCTTATCCCTGGAATCTCTGAATATTGTCTTACATGGTGTCTTATATAGTCAGGGTTGTCTAGAGGGACAGAACTAATAGGATATATGTATATATGAAAGGGAGTTTATTAAAGGGACTAGACTCACAGGATCACAAGGTAAAGTCCCATGATAGGCCGTCTGCAAGTTGAGGAGCAAGGAAGCCAGTGGTGGATCAGTCCAAGTCTCAAAACCTCAAAAGTAGCCTTCAGTCTGTGGCCAAAGGCCTGAGAGCCCCTGGCAAACCACTATTGTAAGTCCAAGAGTCCAAAAGCTGAAGAACTTGGAGTCCGATGTTCCAGGACAGGAAGCATCCAGCATGGGAAAAAGATAAAGAGTAGAAGACTCAGCAAGTCAAGTGCTTCCATGTTATTCTGCCTGTTTTATTCTAGCCGTGCTGGCAGCTGATTAGATGGCGCCTACCCAGATTGAGGGTGCCCCTCTCAGTCCACTGACTCAAATGTTAATCTCCTTTGGCAACACTATCACAGACACACCCAGGAACAATACCTTGCATCTTACAATCCAATCAAGTTGACACTCAATATTAACCATCACATATGGCAAAGGAGTTAATACTACCTTATATCGCAAAATATGTGATTAAGAATCTTGAGAGAAAGCATTTATCTTGAATTATGTAGGTGAGCCATAAAATCACATGTATCCTTATAATAGAGGGGCAGAAGGAGTTTGGGGACAGATATACAGATAAGAAAACATACACAGAGATGGAGCTGACATGAAGACAGAGGCGGAAATTGAAGGAAGCCAAGGAAGCCAAGAATTGCCAACAGCCACCAGAAGCTTAAGAGGAAAAGGAAGATTCTCCCTAGAGCCTCCAGAGAGAATGAAGCCCCGCCTCCACTTAACTTCCAACTTCTGGCCTCCAGACTGTGAGAAAATAAATTTCTGTATTTTAAGTTCCCAAACTTGTGGTAATTTGTTACAACAGTCCTGGGAAATTAATATACAATTTTATAATTTATTGTAGACCTACAGTAATCAAAACAATGTGATATAGGCAGAAGGAGAAAGACATTGATCAATGGAACATAATGGAGAACCCAGAAATAGATCCATATAAATACAGTCAGCTGTTTTAATTATTTTGTTTTTTTTTACAAAAGCACAAAAGCAATTCAATGGGGAAAGGACAGCCTTTTCAAGAAACGGCACCAGAGCAATTGGACATCCATAAGCAAAAAAAAATGAACATCGACCTAAACCTCACACCTTAGACAAAAATTAACTAAAACTGGTTCATGATCTTAAATGTAAAGCATAAACTGGAAAATTTTTGGAAAAATAAATAAAAGAAAATCTTCAGGATTTAGGGTTAAGCGAAGAGTTCTTAGTCTTGACACCAAAAGCACATTTTATAAAAAGACAAAATAATTTGAATCTCATAAAATTTAAAACTTTTGATCTGCTGTGATGCATGTGAAAAGATAATCTACAAATGCAGGTAATATACATGCAAACTACATATCTAGTCAAGGACTAGTACTTAGGAGATATAAAGAACTCTCAAAATTCAACAATGTTTTTAAAGTCCAATTAGAAAAGGGGTAAGCAGCATGAACAGACATTTAACTGAAGAGGTATATTGGTAACAAGCACATGAAAAAGTTTCACCATCATCAGCCATCAGGGAAATACAAATTAAAACAATGAGAAGTCACTGTACAACTATCAGAATGGTTAAAATAAAAAATAGTGACACCAACTGCCACTTGAAGAAGAAACTGGACCACTCATACATTCCTGGAGGGAATGTAAAATGGTACACTTGTTGTGGAAACCAGTTGGGTGGTTTCACCAATCTAAACAATTAACTTGGACTTTTATCCCAAAGAAACAAAAACCTATGTCACATAAAAACCTGTACATGAATGATCATAGAAGCTTTAATTATAATAACCAAAAACTGGAAAGGAGCAAAGGCCCTTAAACAGGTGAATTGTCAAACAAACTGTAGGCTGGGCATGGTGGCTCATGCGTGTAATCCTAGCACTTTGGGAGGCCGAAGTGGGCGGATCACCTGAGGTCGGGAATTCGAGATCAGCCTGACCAACATGGAGAAACTCGGTCTCTACTAAAAATACAAAAATTAGCTGGGCGTGATGGTGCATGCCTGTAATCCCAGCTACTCGAGAGGCTGAGGCAGGAGAATCGCTTGAAATCGGGAGGCAGAGGCTGCGGTAAGCCGAGATCGCGCCATTGCACTCCAGCCTGGGCAACAAGAGCGAAACTCCGTCTCAAAAAACAAAAACAAAACAAATAACAACAACAAAAAAAAAACTGTGATACATGGATTCTATGGTGTGATGGTTAATACTGAGTGTAAACTTGATTGATTGAAGGATGCAAACTAGTGTTCCTGGATGTGTCTGTGAGGGTGTTACCAAACTTGGAGATTAATATTTGAGTTGGTGAACTAGGAGAGGCAGACCCACCCTCAATCTGGGTGGGCACCATCTAATCAGCTGCCAGTGTGGCTAGGACAAAAGCAAGCAGAGGAACATGGAAGGACAAGACTGGCTGAGTCTTCTGGCCTCCATCTTTCTCCTGTGCTGGATGCTTCCTGCCCTGGAACATCAGACTCCAAGTTCTTCAGCTTTTTGATTCTTGGACCTGCACCAGTGGTTTGCCAGGGGCTCTCAGGCCTTTGGCTGCACAATTAAGGCTGCACTGTTGGCTTCCCTACTTTTAGGTTTTGGGACTCGTACTGACTTCCTTGTTCCTCAGCTTGCAGATGGCCTATTGTGGGACTTCATTTTGTGATCGTGTGAGTCAATAGTCTTTAATAAACTCCCTTTCATATATACATCGATCCTATTAGTCCTGTCCCTCTAGAGAACCCTGACTAATACACACGGGATATCACTTAACAAAAAAAAAGGAACCAACTATTGATATACACAACAACTTGGATGAATCTACAGAGCATTATGCTGAGGGGAAAAAAATATGATTTGTAAAAGTTACATACTGTATGATTCCATCTATAGAACATTTTGAAATGGTAAAATTTTAGAAATGGAGAACAGATTAGTGGTTGGGAAAGGTTAGAGATAGGGTTGGGGTGGGGTCCAGCGGCAAAAGGGAGATGGATGTGGTTATAAAAAAGCAAGTTGAAAACTCTCAAAAAAGATTTTAAAATAAGTAAAAATTGCTATTGTTAAAAAAGAAAAGTAGGCTGGACTGGATAGTTGAAGTCTTCAGTGAATATTTTGAAGTGATTTGTTAATCTACATAGATAAATGTTATTAGACTGTGAGAGGCAACCACTGTTTTGCTTTGTAGACACAGTGGATTTATATCAGTTAAATTCCTTCCAATATATGTGTTTGCTCTCAAATAGAGACAAACTTAAATAAACATTATGAAGTATATGCTTCTGAAACTCCCAGAGCATTTACAATATTAATATTAATACTGCATATACATTTTACTACATGATACTTTTTATTTATTTAGAATCTAATCCAATAAAGTGTTTTTCATTTTGCTGCTCCTATGCAATTGTTCTGCATACCTGAAAACACTTGCGACTCCTGGGAACTTATTTCTCCTCACACTCGACATGGAATACTTGTTCATGTGCTTTTTGTTTTGTTTTTATTTTTTTAGAGATGGGGTCTTACTCTGCCGCCTGGGCTGGAGTGCAGTGGCAAGATCGTAGCTGACTGCAACACAAGTGCCAACCTGCGTCCAGTTGTATTTTTTATATTATTAAATGAACATCAATTATGTCTGTGTCAATTATATCAATCTGAACAAAAATATATTGCCTTTATTGACATCATAACTACAGATTTTTTTCCTTAATCTACCCCTACTATCACAATTCTATACAAAGTGCCAGTTTAGAAGTTAGTTATTTAACCATACATTCCTCTAAAATTGCAGAATTCTAAGTCTTTTATTGATTAAATGAAATTTTTTAGTACAAGGGCAACAAATTCCCATTACAGAAAATGCAGATGAAAAAATTAAAATGCAAATAAATCCATAAATCTTTGTATCTACGGAAACTGACAACTAACACATTTGGCTCTATATTCACATGTATGCATAATTGTTTTAATAAAAATGATAATATCTTGTATAATATTTGATAATTTGTTTCCAAATAAAAATACATTGTAAGCTTTTTTTTTTTTTTTTTTTTGAGGCAGAGTCTCACTTTGTCACCTAGGCTGGAGTACAGTGGCACGATCTCAGAGCACTGCAACCTCCACCTTCCAAGTTCAAGCAATTCTCATACCTCAGCCACCCAAGTAGCTGGGATTACAAGCATGCACCACCACGCCCAGCTAATTTTTGTATTTTCAGTCGACACATGGTTTTGTCATGTTGCCCAGGCTGATCTTGAACTCCTGGCTTCAATGATCCGCCCGCCTCAGTTTCCCAAAGTGCTAGGATTATAGATATGAGCAACCACACTCAGTCCATTATAGACATATTTTCATTAAAAGAGAAGCATTTAATATGTACTATCTTATTAACTTATTATGTGGTAGTCCATTATGTAAATGAACCTTAATTAATTCAATAAATCCCCAATGGTTGAATATTTTGTTTTTTCTTTTCAAGAAGTTGCTACAATTAACAGGACTAGAGCTAAATATTTTACAAACTATTGTTTATTTCCCTAGGATACATTCATGAAAATGGAATTGCTTAATAACTTATTGACAAAATATCTAGGAGAAAATATATAGCAATTTATAATATCACCAATGATTTTTCAAAAAGCCAAGGTAGGGAGAATAACTCTGTCCTTACCTTCATGCATCCTTACCATCACCAAATATTATGTTTTTATGTTTGCCAAATTAGAGGCTAAAAACAGTATATTGTTGCTTTTATGTTTTTAAATTGTTGATGAATTTGAACATTATTTTCACCTCTATATTAGATATTTCAATATTTTTCTTATTTGTCTGTGTCTTTAACCCATTTTTCTTAATAATTACATTTTACCTAATAAAGATACTAATCTTTTGTCACATGTTTGAACATTCAACTTTTAATTTTACTTACAATATTTGTATATTTATCAGATATACAGATATTTACTACTTTGTGCTGTAAAGTTTATTGGACTTCTCTTTTGATTTCTTCTTCCTCATCTCTAGGGTACACACTCTCCCGTATAAAATCAGGAATTGGAAGCTGCACTGAGACATCATATAGTTCCAGTTTACTGGGAAAGTAAGATTCTTGAGAAATTTTATTAATTTCCCCTAGCCACATCATTCCTTCCTAGTACTGCCAGGACTAAAATGTAGATCTTTTGATACCTCCAGCTGTTAGAGAATCCAACTGATTTTAAACATCTCTTTTCCTTCTGAAAGAGCGTGAATGAGATGCTTTGGCTGCCAACAATTGGGGATGGAGGAATCTCCATGCTCATTTCCTATACTGTCTACACAGATTCAACCTGTGCTTCCCAATCCTCCGGATGGTGCCTGATCCACAGAGACCTGGACATGCCATGCAACATCCCTTGGGTAAAAATACAGTCCTTTTTTTTTTTTTTTTTTTTTGTCTTAGAGACAGAGTATTACTCTGTTGCACAGGCAGGAATGCAGTGGCACAATCATAGCTCACTGCAGCCTGGATCTCCTGAGCTCAAGTGATCCTGCTGTCTCAGCCTCCTGAGTATCTGAGACTACAGGCATGCACCACCATGCCTTGTTAATTTTTTATTTTTTGTAGAAATGCGGTCTTACTATGTTGCCCAGTTGAGTCTTGAACCTCTGGCCTCATGCAATTTTTCCACCTCGACCTCCCAAAGCACTGGGATTACAGGTGTGAGCCACTCTACCTGGCCAAGATGGGATCTTTTGACAGCCGCTGATTTGTGCTGATAGCTACGGCTGTGGAGTTTTGTGGATGACCACCACTTCTCCCTCCATTTGGGGGAAAAAGAGACAGCTTTGCTAGTAGATGATCACTAGGTATTGAACTTAATGTCTGATGGATTAAGCAAATAAGGTAGAAAAAGCAAGAGATTAATTAATAGGAAGAAGGAGATTTTTAATAGAAGAATAGCAGTAGTCCTTGAGGACCGGCAAAACTCTGATAGGCTTCCTTGGCCAAAACATGTTCATTTGGGTCTGGCAAGCTACTTCTCCCAGATTCCAAACTACTAAACTCCCTTACGTTTGGCCCACAAGGAAACACTTCCAAGTCTCTACTTTCCATGAGGCTGATAATATTAAACTGCAGTTCTATTCTTGGGATTCAGGGATCAGCAGAGGCCAACCTTCCTCTGTTGCCCTTGCCAACCAGCTACACAATGAGTGCCAAGCAAAAACCATGTGATGTTTTAAAAGCAAGCAACATATTAAACACCAAAACAGTCTTAGTTTTGAACCTACGCCTCTCCACCTTGCCAGGCAGCATTGGTGACTGTGATTTATTTAATCTACATTAGAGCAACTCCTTCAGTGAGGACTGAAAGAATTTTGAACAGAAAGGCGGCATTGATAGTTAGTGCTGAATATTTTGCTTGCTGAAATCATCTAAGGAGGACCCCATAACCATTTCAATGCTCTGCTGAGAAGAAGGCTCAAAGGTCAGGGCAGAGACACTTCCCACTTATCAGCATTAGCCACCACTGTCCAATAACTTGACTTTAAAGTGCTCGATTATCCAGCCAGAGAAGGACATTCTCCAAAAGATTATAGAGAAAGAAAGTGCTTTTCAGTGTGACCTGGTTAAAAACTGAGGCAGAGTGAAAGGCAGATACAAGGTGTGGAGAAAAGGCTACATTGCCATGAGTTATTGGAAAGAAAGAAGAGGCCAAATACCAATTCATTTTTTAAATGACAGAATAAATCAGAAACTTTCTTATTGGTTCACCCTATTTGCTACAAACATATATGGGGCATTTTTTAACAGTTCAATCTCTGAACCATACTAAAATTATTTCCCCTCTCCCCCTACCCCCCACAATTACATTGAAAAAAATTCCTTCTCTGAACCACTGTTGCACATCTAATTATAGCACACACTACTTAGTGCTGTGATCGCAACCATTTTAAGGAGATGAAGATTCTCTTTGCTCAGTAGGGGAGGGACAAAAAGGTCTGTTTTTCAGGAAAATATAGATTGCCAAATGAATGTGACTTGAAATAAAATCAGCTTTAACTCTGCTGGAAAGCGACCCTATGACCTCTGTTTCCCAGACCTCCACCACCACACCCACAGGCCTCCATTTCATGTTTCACCCTGGCGGGTCCCCAGGATACCATGCTACAGAACTCCCTCCCATTAGCTGCAGGAATCCAGAATATCCATGGCAACCGGTCTCTAACCCCAGGGAGAAGGCAGCAGAATTGAAAGGCTCCATTCTGTTTCTACAGCCACAGCTCAGTGAATTGACAGTTTGGTGGTTCTCTCAGTTCCGTTAGATTAGGATGCACTTTTCTGTCTTCCTTTGTGTCATCTTTTTACCTGCGTAGGTCTCAGCTGCGGTTAAGGAATTTTTCAGATAAGCATTTCCCCTCTTTCCCACTACCTCTGCACCCATCCAAAAGCATACTCTTTAAACAGTCCTTGCTTTGCAGCATTTTTCTAAAGAAAACAAAACATAGTCTTGCTATTGGTCTTTTTGCCTTCCCACAAAAACATTCCATGTTTGGTGTGCATGTTGCGCAAATTACCAGTGGATATCTGATTTCAAGCAAAGCAAGTCCTTTGTACAACACGATCTTATAAAAAACTGGCAAAGAGATTTTTTAAAACATACAATTTTATCATGAAATTAAGTTGTAGCATCAAATAACTATAATCAC
Organism: Homo sapiens; assembly: GCF_000001405.40. Taxonomy (NCBI): domain Eukaryota; kingdom Metazoa; phylum Chordata; class Mammalia; order Primates; family Hominidae; genus Homo; species Homo sapiens. The sequence continues at coordinate 75,196,464 of NC_000013.11, forward strand.
GTTTAAGTGATTGTTTGTGCCACAGATATTTAAATGGGGTAACAGATTGCATAGTGCTCTCACTGTCTGCCAAAGGAGACTGAATAACTAATTTGCACTCCCATGCCCTGTGGAATGGCAGCTGAGTCCCCAGTGGATATGGGAAGAACTTGACAGAAGCAGACCATTTGGTCTGCAGAATCAAAACAAGGCAGGAATGTTATGTACGGTATGCAATATACAGTCATATGTTGCATTTATAGTAGCCTAATAATAGGATTGCAAAAGGAGGTCAATCTGTTGGTCAGAATTTCTTAACTCTTCTGGGTAAAGTGGACCCCTTATAAAGCTAATGAGAGCTACAGATTCTCCTCCCAGGAGAATGTATATATGTGTGAAATGGGAAGTTAAATATGATACTCCCTGTAGCTCAGTTTTGGCAGAAGCCTAAAAGAAAGCGAATACTGTGAGCATCAAGAATCCCTCACATCCTAAATGGAAAGGGCACTCCCTAAAACAGTAACTGGAAGTACATATATCCCTGGAGGGTATACTAGGGTTTCCAAAGGGAAAAAATGGGCAAAATGGTTTCAAGAAATTAATCTCTGTATCCTCAACTTTTTTGCATATTTCTTCATAAATTAATCTATGAAAGGGATCGTGCTTTCCATTTCACAGAAGCCTTTCTCCCTTGTTTTACAAGAAAGGCAAATGTCTCATTCATCCCTAACTCAACACTGATATATTGCTTAGGTTGTGAACAACTCCTGGATCCCAAAGTGACCATATACACATCCCTATCTGTTAAATTGCTTTTCCTTAAAGTCCCAGGTTTGAGTCTCGACATGTTTTGTATGATTTCAATAACAAAAAGGTGAAAAGTTCTACCTTTACTCATTTACTAAAAACAGATTATCATATCTTTGAGTAAAAGGAGTATCAGTTAAAAATAGAGCATTATATTTTCCTGAACATTTGTTCAGACTGTTAAGATAAAACATTCCTTAACTTTTACCAAAAGATGAATGTTCTAAGTATCTATTTAATTTTTACTGCTTATTGTCTGTCGTTCACTAACCTCTTCCCTCCTCTGTTACTCCTTAATGCCATGTACTTGTTTTATTTGGATTTGCTTACTGGGAAGGTATTATAGATTTCACTGCAAATAATGCAATTAAGTCTTGTAATAAATCTTTTGTAGCTCCATATTTATTCATAGCCTAATACTTTCTTTTCCAGTTGCTGTTGATTTCCACTGAAACCTAACCCATCCTCAAAAAACAAAAAAAAAGAAAAAAGAGAGTAAGAGAGAGAGAAAGAGAAGAAAGAGGATGAAGAGAAGGAGGAGGAAGAAGAGCCTCATCATTCTCTCTAAAAAGCACATTTCTGATAAAAGTTTTCTTCCAAGAGAACCCTGGAGGAGCAACACAGAGGCCCAGGGAGCACTGGTCCCAGGATCACTGTGGATAGCAGAACCCAGAGGGCAGTGGAAGCTGGGGGCTAGGAATGAGGGCAGGGGCGAGGTGATGAGCAGATGTAACTGCTAGAGCAATTAAGCCCAAAGTCAAGCAAAACGCAATTTGGCAACTCCCACCCATGGGAACATCTCCAAAAATGCACAAAGAGCCCAGTGAGAGAGTCAGCTCGTTATACTTATCTCTTGCAGCCAGAGAGCATCAACACAAGATAAAATGAACCTAAGGAAAAATCTCTTTTTTTCCTTACCTCTTTCCTCCCTTAGACGGGCTTCAAAAACATCTAGCCAATGAATGAAAAACAGAAAAGAAACTATTTCTTCCTCCCACTGGAGGATTCTAGGCAGGCACAACTGGTTTGTGGAGAAGAAAACTGGATTGGAGATTAGTATTGTATGATTACTAAATTGGACTGTATTTTTTTATTATATAAACACAAAAATCTTTAATCCTACCCCAAATTTCCTCCAGTTATTAGAGAGTAACAAGAAGAGAAAGTTGATTTGAATGGGGCAATGGTAAGAGAGAATAAAGTTGCTTTCAGCTTCCACCCTACTGAATTCAGTACGTTCCATAAGCCAGTTACACGTCCATGCTTCCATCAATAGCTAAAGGCTTACGCGCACTTCTGCATCCACACTCCCTCGAGAGGCAGGCAGTGAGAAGAAAAGAAGGCTCCTTGAGAGATAAGAAATCACATTAAAGGAAGATTGAGTTCACATAAGATTTACCTGCAAGAGACATTAAAACTAGAAGATGATGAATTAATTTAATTTGTTTAATTTTTAATATAATTCATTTATGTTTTTCCCCACCACCCCTTTCTAGGGGGAAAAGGGTTGAGCACAATTGTATCTGTTATTAAAAATAAGAAAAGCTATACTTTGGCACATCTAGGATGTATTGCAAAATGTAGAACATGATTGGAGAACTGGAAGTAGAGACTATTGAGGGATTGAGAAGGGAATTGACGTGACACAAACCAACATTTAAGGAATTGCCCAAGGGAAAGAGCCCACAAGAGACAGTGAGAAAAAGCAGCCAGAGAGAGAGGGGGTAACCAGGGGAGTAAAGTCAAGATGCTGAGGAAAGAATTAATAGGAGGGAGGGGTCTATGTTTTCAAATGTTGGTAAAAGCTGGGTACTGTATAACTGAAATATGTGCTTTGGTTTTAGCAACAAGAAAATCATCAGCGGCCTTGGCATGAGCAGTTTCACTAAAGTGGTGGAGGCAGAAACCAAACTGAAGAAATAGATTTTTTTTTTAAGTCTAGCAATAGAGACAACTCTTTCAAAAAGTCTGGCAATAAAGAGGATGTGGTAGATTGCGTTTTAATTATTCACTTCCCTTGCTATAGGATAATTATACATCCCTACCCATTACTTTGTAACTTGCAGTGCTTCTCTGAAGGAGATGAGTACTTCTCTGTCCTATTGACACTGAGGTTAGCCACGCAGATGGCTTTGTACATGGAATGTGAGTGATGTGAAGGAAGTCGTTGGAATAGGAAATTTAGTCAAGGAAGATTTTATTATTTTGTTTGTTTTGTTTCAGACAAGGTGTCACTCTGTTGCCCAGGCTGGAGTGCAGTGGCTGGATCATAGGTCACTGTAGTCTCGATTTCCCAGGCTCAAGCAATCCTCCCCTGTCTCAGCCTCTGGAGTAACTGAGACCACAGGCACGTGCCACCATGCCCAGCTAATTATTTTTAATATTTTTAGTAGAGACAGGGGTCTCACCATGTTGCCCAGGCTGGTCCCAAACTCCTGAGCTCAAGCAATCTTCCCACTTCAGCCTCACAAATTGTTGGAATTACAGGCATGAGCCATAGCGCCCGGCCAGATTTTATTCTTAAAATGGCAAAAAGTAAGGGATGTTTAAATGCTTACAAAAAAGAGTCAGTATGAAGGGAAAACTTTAAGATACAGAAGAGAAGGGATGGTTGATGAAACCAGAACCCTGAGAAAGCAGACAGGGTTAGACCCTCAAAATAAATAGAGGACTTGCCCATTACATGAAGGTCACCTCTTCCATTAACAAGAAGGAAGGCAGGAAGGATGGATGTGAAGAAAGTTAAGCTTGCCGGTTAAGTGCTGACAGAGAGTTAAAAAGGCATCTAATTTCTCTGTGAAATGGGAAGTGATGTCACTTGATAAGGGCTAAGGGAGGGAAAGCCAGGGCAGGAGGGGAGAAGGAGGAGTAACGTTTTTGGAGCATCCATTAAAAAAAAAAAAAAAAGATACAAAACCAGAAAGAACAAAGCATAGAAGAATCAGTGAGCAGTATTAAAGGCCAAATTGAGGTTGGTGACCATAAAATTTTGTGGTGAAAATATTCATGGTTGTGTTATTTTCCCAGATGTGAGCCTAGGAAAGGCATGCTAGAGCCCTACAGTCACACGGAAGGGAGGTAACTCAGGAGGGGCCGAGGATATTGGCAAGAAAAGGTTGAATGTACTTTATCACCAGTGTCAGATTTTCCCGGTTGCCCTTTAGTTTTCCTATTACACTAGCAGCAGCCTCTGTGTCCATTATTCACTAACTCCTTTATTCCTCACAGCAACCTTGGGATTATTCTTTTATAATTACTCTCTAAAGATAAGGAAATTGAAACTCAGAGATACTACATAATTTGACCAAGATCACCCCGCTCGCAAGTGACAAAGTTATAATTAAAATTCGCATTGTATGACTCCAAGTTCAATAGAATTTTCCCACCACGTCACTGTTGCTCTCATTACTCTTGTTCTTTCTTTCTAAGCTTCTGTGAAACCCCTTGGTTTTTTATTAAAATTGCCTATAATCGAGAGTTCCAAGTCAGAAGTCCAAATTGCTGATAAAATCTTAAAGTGTCCAGCTAGGATTTCTAATTTCTTCCCTAAGCTGTATGAAGTGAATCAAATAAAGACCACTAGCCATGCAGACTCCTAAAACAGGAGCCTAGTTGACATCCCATCCCCTTCCCTTTCTCTCATCCTTCTTTCTTACTCTGCAAGTGTTCTTCCTAAAGAAACAGAGAATACAATGAACTGAGCCCTGAGAAGACTGCTTTGAGCTGCCTGCCACTAAGACCCCTCAAATAAAAGAATAGGGTCAGGCCACAGTGTCAGGACCACCCCCACTCCATGACAGCAGCCCAGGCTGCTGCTGGATTGTATTGCAATTTCAGAGGCACCACTCATATATTCCACATGAATGGCGCTCCCTAGAAGTACACAGCAGGGCTACAGCCCTACCCACCTCCCTTGGCATGAGTTGTCACATTGCCAACGCTCAACTGTTGACATTGTAGACAGGAGATTTCCCAGAGTAGTTCATTTGAAAATATTCTGACCCTCAACCTCTGGAATCTCTGTGTCCTTTTTCCCTTCTTCCTCCCCACATTTTTCCTCTCATAACATTTACCTGGCATAAAGTCCCTTAACCACTACCCCACTTCGCCAGCCACAGAGTTTTGGATATACTTCCCTTAATTAGGCTAATCTAAGATAGGGAAGAAACTGCTGATTGCCTTTTAATATTCAGTCCTTACTTCTTTCTTAATAACAAGGTTGGGACACCACCCCAATAGTAACTAAATACTAATTATTTTAGCTGAGTATATCATCACTCAGAACACAATATTAGATTCCCCGGTTTCCCCTGCAGATAGATGTAGTCACATAACTAAGTTCGGGCCAATGAGATAAAAGCAGAAGTGTTATAGGCAACTACCAAGAGGTATACATAAAGGAAACTGATCCAGAGAGTCCTATTTTTCCATTGTTCCTGGACTGTAAAGGCAACATCTAGATTTCCCACAGCCATCTTGGACTTTGAGGTAAACTGAAAAGTGGAAACCATGTTCTAAATATGGTGGAGGTACAAGGAGACTGTGTCTACCAGTTACCACTTTCCTTCCCAATGTCAACATTCTAGACCTCAAACTTAAATGTCTCCAGGTTCCTCTCAGGCCACATGATTCCTAAAATTGTGTGTTCATAAGCTACTCTCCTAGGTATAAATTTGAAGAGGTTCCCTGTTGCCTAACTCTAAACACCTTTATCTGCCATTAAAGGGTTGTCATGGTTTGACACCCACCTCTCCAAATGTTCCTCCCCCTATTCTTTAAAATATAGCCTAGTATTTGGTCAAATTGATCTATTTACCTCCACATTATTTCTACCTCTGTGACTGAAGTCATGATTTTTCTCCTGCCTAGAAAGGCTTTGATCGAGGCAAAATATCTTTGATTTACAGATATTTCTTTATCTGTAAATAGCAAACCATTTTCATACAACATGTATAACTTCTGTATTCAACCTACATGTTTCTCCCTGAGATTTCCTCATTCTATAGTAAAGTATCTTTGTCCTCCAAATAAATGATAGAAATGCAGGCCAAAATACAGCCCCTGGTGCACACTAGACACTAAATAATGTTTGGGGAAGGAATGAAAAGGAGTCAGGAACAAAAGGAACTAGGAAAACAAGCTACATTGAAGAAGAAAAGAAGGAAGAGGTAACTGAGACCATATTCTTCCTTTATTCCATAATTGTAGAATTTTTAGTTGGGTATGTGACTAGACACAGTAAAGACTAGTTTCCTTGAAGCTAGTTATAACCATGCAATTAAGTTGTGGCTTATATGTAAAGACAAGTTTTATGAGGCAGCTTCCTGAAACATCCTGCCAGGAAACAACCAGGTTATGTCTTTTACTAATCCTTCTTCATTCCTGCCTACCCTCTGCATATAAGGTGGTGTCACCATCTTGAACTGCAGCTCAGGGTTAGCAGGGAGGTAAACTGGTAAGAGACTGGGTCTCACCAGTAAGAGGATTCCATGAAGCAAAGCCACTGTATCCACCCTAGATCACTTTCTACCAGCCTTTGGCATGGAAGGAAAATAAACTTCTACTTGTTTGAGAGTCACAGTTAAACCTAAACCCTAAGTAATGGAAAAGTCAAGAATAAAAGGGTAATGGCAGAAGCAGGTGAGAGAAAATAGGCAGCAAGACAGACATGATCCCTGCCTTCAAGGGACATAGACTCCACAGGAATAAAAACTCCCGAATCCAGAACTACCTGTTTTATGAGGTCAAAAAGAGAGAGTGGCCACCAAAATGGTGCTTGCTTCTTGTCTCAAAACTAGTGATGGAGAAGCTCTAGTAGAGAAAAGCTTTTTTTTTTAATTTTAACTTGATTTTTTTTTCTTTTTTTTTTTTTTAAGACAAGGTCTTGCTTTGCCGTCCAGGCTGGAGTACAGTGGCACAATCATGACTCACGCAGCTTCAAGTTCCTAGACTCAAGCAATCCTCCCACCTCAGCCTCCTGAGTAACTGGTACTATAGGCATGCACCACCACACCCAGCTAATTTTTATATTTTGTTTTTGTAGAGATGGGGTTTCATGATGTTTCCCGGGCTGGTCTCAAACTTCTGGGCATAAGCCAACCACCTGCCTTGGCCTCAAAAGTGTTGGGATTACAGGCATGAGCCACTGCACCTAGATGAGGGAAGCTCTTAAATTCGGCTTTTATCTCTCTAAAGTCTTCCCTGAGGACAAGCTTTGCCTGGCACTTCCCCACAGATATTTATCCCAACACTGGCCTCGTGGTAACATTAGCTTACAGCAAATGCTCCTGGAGCCTCCACTCTTCAATTTCCTCCCCAGCTAGAACACCAGCTGCCTTCTCCCAATGATGCTTGTCTTTGAGTGCCTAAGGGTAAAACCTTAACACAAGTATTTGATAAAATGTCATCAAGGGTAACCATGTGGAATCTAAGGATCTAAGGAATACAGTCTTTCTTCTCTTTAAGTCCACCAGAGCGGACACAGATTTGGGCACAGCCTTTGACCCTTCCCCCAAACCAAGAAAAGAAGCTGATACCCCTAGAGGAACATGAGCTTATAAGACGAAATAACTAGACATGTGAGGAACATGACTACTGTAAAGACAACCAAAGGGAAACATCTAAAGCAGTGTTATTGAAAATGACAAAGAACTTAAAATAAGCATGTGTATTAGCTCGTTCTTGCACTGCTATAAAGAAGTACCTGAGACTGGGTAATTTATAAAGCAAAGAGGTTTAATTGTCTCACTGTTCTACAGGCTGTACAGAAAGTATAGTGGCTTCTGCTTCTGGGGAGGCCTTGGGAAGCTTCCAATTGTGGTGACAGGCAAAGGGGGAGCAAGGCATTTCAGACGGCAGGAGCAGGGGCGGGGGAGGCGCTACCTACTTTTAAATAACTGGATCTCATGAGAACTCACTATCTTGAGAACACCACCAAGGGGATGGTGTTAAATCATTCATGAGTTTCAACTCCCTCCCACCAGGCCCTACCTCCAACAGTGGAGACTACAATTTGACATGTGATTTGGAGGAACACAGATCCAAACCATATCATCTTGGCCCTGGCCCCCCAAATCTCATATACTTCTCACATTGCAAAATACATTTACCCCTTCTCAACAGTCCCCCAATATCTTAACTCATTTCAGTATTTACTAAAAAGTCCAAAGTCTGACCTGAGACAGGCTAGTCCCTTCTGCCTATGAGCCTGTAAAATCAAAAACAAGTTAGTGACTTCCAAGATACAATAGGGGTATAGGCATTGGGTAAATACTCCCATTCCAAAAGGGAGAAATCAGCCAAAATAAAGACCCATGCAAGTCTGAAACCCAGCAAGGCAGTCATTAAACCTTAAAGCTCCAAAATAATCTCCTTCAACTCTGTGTCCCACATCCAGGGCACACTGATGCAAGTAGTGGGCTCCCAAGTCCTTGGGTAGCTCCACCCCTGAGGCTTTGCAGCATTCAGCCCTCAGGCTGCTCTCAAGGGCTGGCACTGAGTGGCCAGTTGCTTTTCCAGGGACAGGGTGCAAGCTGTCGGTGGATTTACCATTCTGGAATCTGGAGGATAGTAGCCCTCTTCTCACAGCTCCACTAGGCAGTGCCCCAGTGGGGAGTCTGTGTAGGGGCTCCATTCCCACATTTCCCCTCTTCAGTGCCTTAGCAGAGGTTCCCGATGAGGGCTCCACTGTTGCAGCAGGCTTCTTTCTGGACATCCAGGCTTTTCTGTACATCCTCTGAAATTTAGGCAGAGATTCCCAAGCCTCAGCTCTTACACTCTGTGCACCCACAGGCTTAACACCACATAGAAGCTGCCAAAGCTTATGGCTTGCACCCTCTGAAGCACTGGCCTGAGTTATAACTGTGACCCTTTCAGCCATGGCTGGTGCTGGAGTGACTGGGATGTAGGGAGCAGTGTCCTGAGGCTGTGCAGGGCAGCAGGACCCTGGGCCTGGCCCATGAACCCATTCCTCCCTTCTAGGCCTCTGGGCCCGTGTTACGAGGGGCTGCTGCAAAGGTCTCTGAAATGCCTTCAAGACCTTTTCTCCATTGTCTTGGCTATTAGCATTTGGCTTCTTTTTACTTATGCAAATTTCTTCAGGCTTCTTTAATTCCTCCCTTGAAAATGGGCTTTTCTTTTCTACCACATAGACAGGCTGCAAATTTTCTAAACTTTTATGCTCTGCTTCCCCTTTAAATATAAGTTCCAACTTTAGGTCATTTCTTTGCTCTCACATATGAGCACAGGTATTAGAAGCAACAAGGCTATTTCTTGAACATTTTGCTGCTTCGAAATTTCTTCCACCATATACCCTAAATCATCACTCTCAAGTTCAAAGTTCCACAGATCCCTAAAGCAAGAGCACAATGCATCCAAGTTCTTTGCTAAGGCATAACAAAAGTGACCTTTTCTCCAGTTCCCAATAAACTCCTCATTTCCATCTGAGACCTGCTCAACCTAGCCTTCACTGTCCATATCACTACTAGCATTTTGTTCATAACCATTCAACCAGTCTCTAGGAGATTCCAAGCTTTCCCTCATCTTCTTGTCTTCTTCTGAGCCCTCCACATTCTTTCAACTTCTGCCCATTACCTAATTCCAAAGTTGCTTCCTCATTTTTAGGTATCTTTATAGCAAAGCCCCACTCCTCAGTACCAATTTTCTGTATTAGTCTGTTCTTGCACTGCTATAAAGAAATACCTGAGACTGGGTAATCTATCAAGCAAAGATGTTCAATTGGTTCACAGTTCTGCAGGCTGTACAAGAAGCATAGTGGTTTCTGCTTCTGAGGAGGGATCAAGAAGCTTGCAATCATGGCAGAAGACAAAGTGGGAGGGAGGTGTCTCACATGGTGGGAGCAGGAGCAAGAGACAGTGAGGGGAGAGGTGCTGCACACTTTTAAACAACCAGACCTCACAAGAACTCACTCATTATCACATGAACAGCACCAAGGGGATGGTGGTAACCATTCATGAGAAATCCACCCCAGTGATCTAACTGCTTCCTACCAGGCCCCACCTCCAACACTGGGGACTACAATTTGAGATGAGATTTTGTGGGACACAGATACCAACCATATCAGCATGACATTAAATATCTTTCAGGAGATAAAAAAAGTTATTAGTAACATGAAACATAAATAGGAAGTTATAAGAAAAAAACCCACTGTAAATATTAAGTATAAAAATATGGTAGTTGAGATTTTAAAATAGAGCAACAGGATAAACAGTAGGAGGAAAGAGAGTACAAACTTATTAGTTGGAACATTATATTGAGGAGCTCTCCAAGAGGGCAGTTGGAAAAGATAATGAGATTTAAAAATAAAAAGAATATACAGATATCAGCATAGATATTGTTAAGTTTTTAAAAATCAGTATGGTTACATAAATATAAGAATGGGTCTTAAGGGCAATGACCAAAGTATTAAAATAGAATGTGTACATTTGCAACCAGAAAAAGAAAATTTGATCTTTCTAAAGAGCAAGGACTGAAATAACAAAAGGAAAAATAAGTGAGTGAATGGAAAATATAAAATAATATGACCAAATAAATTATAATAAATATTGATATTTAAGTTACTAAATGTTAGTGGGTTACATTTACCAACCAAAAGACAGAGACTCACAGATTAAACTGGAGAATAATCCAAATGTATGTCATCTACAAGAATCATATTTAAATGCAACAACAGTCAGATTAAAAACTGAAAAGATTCAAATGGACTTAACAAGAAAACATAAACCAAAAGGAAGCTGGATTCACCATCTTAATATCTGACAAAATGTTTATCCAATGGTACACAGAGAGTATGACCCAAAACTGGGACTCAAATCAGATTTATTAGACTACCAAATTTATTCTTGGAGTCTATGTATGCATAGGCTCCTTAGCGAAATACTTCCAAAAGTAGATGAAGATTAGAAAAGAATATAGCTCTCCCATGAACTTTACATTAATTCTACACATTCCAGCAAAATCTCAAGGTATAGTCAGACATTAGAACATTTACAGAGAGGCAGGTTGTCAATATAAATTCCTAGTAATTATTGGATTATGTTGCCCAAAAATCCATCTTGGCAATTTCTCAGAAATTTCTATTGGGCAATTTTTATGATGCCACAGTCTGTTGCCATGAAAATGACCGTAATGTCATAAATTCAGAATTTCAACTCTACAGCAGGATCAAGGAGGAAAAGATGACAAAACTGTTCAAAGAGAGTGGTACGAGTGCTTCTGGTAATTATCCACAAGAAGATGGAAATAGTAAAATGCACAGGGAGAAAGAAAATGGATATATGAGGCCAAGTCCTTTAATTTAAGTCACAAAATTGGCTCCGACCCACCCTGCCCATGAAGGTTTTAACATATGGCCACTTTTACCATTAATTACTATGATCCTATGGCAAAACCAGTGAACTTCCATGCCTTCATGAGTTGAACCATCTGTTCTTTGAATTCAACACCAAAATCTTGAACTAGAGTTTGAATTTGTGAGACACAGTCACTAAACTTTTGAGAAGAGAAGCACTTAAAATGTTATAGTTAGAGCTTTTTCCTACCTAATTACAGCATTTTAAATTTCATTTTTAGCAGGGATATCACTTTGAGGAGGTACACGAAAGATAATTTATAATTCAATTTTAAAGGTAGAAAGAAAAACATTACACCTGGATCTATAAATCCTCAAAAGCTATTGTTTTTGCATTTAGTACTCTGTGATGCATGGCACCAAGTCCTCCTTACTCAAATATTATCATTTTGGTTGTTATCTCCTTTCATTTATATATAGCCCTAGCCCAAACCTTTCCTTTGAACTCAAGACCCATATACATGGGAGGCCAAGGCAGGAGGGTTGCTTGAGCCCAGGAGTTCAAGGGCAGCCTGGACAACGTAGTGGGACCTCATCTCTACAAAAAAGTTTTAAAAACTAACTAGGTGTGCTGTTGCACACCTGTGGTCCCAGCTACTTGGGAGGCTCAGATGGGAGGATCATTTCAGCACAGGAGATCAAACTGCAGTGAGCTGTGATCACACCACTGTACTCCAGCCTAGGCAACAAAAAGAGACCCTACTGCAAAAAAAAAAAAAAAAAAAAAAAAGAAAAGAAAAGAAAAAAAAGAGAAAGAAAAAGAAAAAAATGAAAAGAAAAGAAAAAAAGAAAGAAAGAAGACTCATCTACACAGATATGTCTCACATGCCATGCACAAACTCAACTTTTCAAAACCAAACTTGGCATCTTCCCATAAACTTGGCCCTGTTCTAGTGATCTCTATGTGACCAAATGGCACTCTTGTACAAGCCAGAAACCTTGACCTTTCTTTGCACTGCACACTTTACCTTACACATTGCTACGGTTTGAATGTTTGTCCCATCCAAAAGTCAGAAGTGGCCCATCAACTCCGGACTTCTCTGCCTCCAGAGCTGTAAGAAATAATTGTTTTCTTTATAAAGTACCCAGTCTCAGGTATTCAGTTATAGCAACAGAAAATGAAATAAGACACCCATATATGAGACATGTCAATTTTATCCTTCAAACAGCTCTCAAATCCATATGTTTCACTCCATTGCCTTGCACACCACCTCAGGTCGTGCTGGCCCATTTCAACAGCCTCATGACTGGTCTTCCACACCCAACCTAGTCTCTCCTGTAATCTATTCTCCATGCTGCAGCCAGAATGATCATTTCAAAATCCAAATCTGATTATGTTATCATCCTGTTTAAAACAATTGGATGAGCAAAGGAAGTGGTTTCTTGAGATGAAATTTACTCCTTTGCTCATCCATAAGAATCCACTCCGCATCCATTAAAGTTTGATCATGAGATTCACTCACATCTCCAGGTTCCACTCCCAATTTTAGTTCTCTTGCTATTTCCACCACATCTGTAGTTATTTCCTCCAGTGAAGACTTGAACCCCTCCAAGTCATCCATGAGGGTTGGAATCAACCTCCTCCAAACTTCTGCTAATATTGATATCTTACCTTCCCCAATGAATCAAAAATTGTTCTTAATGGCAACTAGAATGGTGAGCTTTTTCCATATTTTTAATTTTCTTTGCCCAGATCCATCAGAGGAATCACTATGTGTGGCCGCTGTAGACTTACAAAATGTATTTCTTATATAATATTTGAAAATTGAAATGACTCCTTGATCCATGGGCTGCAGAATGCATGCTGTATTAACAGGTATCCAAACAACATTAATCTCCTTGTAAATCTCCATTAGAGCCATTGGGTGACCAGGTGCATTGTCAGTGAGCAGTAATATTTTGAAAGGAATCTTTTTTTCTGAGCAGCAGGTCTCAACGGTGGGCTTAAAATATTAAGTAAACCATGCTATAAACAGATGTGCTGTCACCCAGGCTTTGTTGTTTCATTTATAGAGCAGAAGCAGAGTAGATTTAGCATAATTATTAAAAGCCCTAAGATTTTCAGAATGGTAAACAAGCATTAGCTTCAACTTAAAGTCACCAGCTGCATTAGTGGCCTAACAAGAGTCAGCCTGTCCTTTGAAGCTTTGAAGCTAGGCATTGACTTCTCCTCTCTGGCTAGGAAAGTCCTAGATGGCACCTTCTTCCATTAGAAGGCTGTTTCATCTACATGGAAAATCTGCCACTTCCTGTAGCCACCTTCCTCAATTATCTCAGCTAAATCTTCTGGATAACTCGCTACAACCTCAACATCAGCACTTTCAGCTTCATCTCACACTTTCATGTTATGGAAACAGCTTCTTTCCTTAAACCTAATGAACCAACCTCTGCTAGCTTCCAACTTTTCTTCTGCAGCTTTCTCACCTCTCTCAGCCTTCACACAATTGAAGAGAGTTAAAACCTTACACTGGTTTAGGCTTTGGCTTAAGGAAATGTGGCTGCTTTGATCTTCTATCCAGATCATTGAAATGTTCGCCATAGCAGCAATAAGGCTATTTCAGTTTCTTATCATCCATGTGTTCACTGGAGTAGCAGTTATCATTTCCTTCAAGAACTCTTCCTTCGCATTCACAGCTTGGCTGTTTGGCACAAGAGGTCTAGCTTTTGGCCTGTCTTGGCTTTGGACATGCCTTCCTCATTAAGCTTAATCATTCCTATCTTTTGATTTAAAGTGAGAAACGTATGACTCCTCTTTCACTTCAACAGTTGGAGGCTGTGATAGTTATTAATTGGCCTAATTTCAATCTTGTTTCTCAGGAAATAAGGAGGTCAAAGGAAAGGGAGAGAGATAGGGGAACAGCCAGTTGGTGGAGTGGTCAGATCACACACAACATTTACCAGTTGAGTCTGCAGTCTTACATGGGCATGGTTCATGATGTCCCAAAAACAATTAAAATAGGAACATCAATGATCACTGATCCCAGATCACCACAACAGATAAAATAATGATAATAAAAGTGTGAAATAACTGCAAAGATTGCCAAAATGTAACACACAAACACAGAGTGAATACGTGTTGTTGGAAAATTGGTGCCAGTTGACTTGCTCAAGCCAGGGTTGCCACAAGCCTTCAATTTTTAAAAAATGCAATTTCTGCAAAGCACATAAAGCTGATAAAATGAGATATCCCTGTATGATATCCTTTCATAGAATCACATTCCTTTCCTTCAGAGTAAATATGTTAATGGGTAGTTATACAATTATCAGGATAGTTATTTAATTAACTTCTGTTTCCTATGCCATACTATAAGGTGCATGAAAACAGGCAAGATGTCTATTTTTGTTTGCATTATACCCTCAGCTCTGGCACTGTATCCAGCACATAATATATGCCCAAGGTATTTTTTGAATTTGTGACTAGTAATCTGTCATTTATTGAGATGTTTTCACAAATGACATTTCAAAAATTCTCAAAAGAAAAAAAAAAGGAAACCTACACCTACCATTTTATTCAGCTATGCTACCGCTAGGTACTTTTTCTAGCAATTTTATTTATAATAGCCAAAAAACTACTGGAAACAGCCCATTGCATGCAATAGATGAATAGATAAATGTGAAGTATCCATATAGTAAATCAATACTCAGCAATAATTATGCTCAAAAAGTATATTTTATGTTCAAAAGATAATTTAAAAAGGAATAAACTATTGGCACATGCAGCAACATAGAAAACCTCAAAAATCTTTAGCTGAGTGAAAGAAGCCAGATACAAAAAAGTGTATGCTGTAGGATTTCATTTGTATGAAGTTCTAGAAAATCCAAACTAAATTATAATGTCAGAAAGCAGGCCAGTGATTGCCGGGGGACAGTGAAGATCTGTGAGAAATTACCATTACCACAAAGGAACAAAAGAAAATTGTGGGGGTGATGGAAATGTTTATTATCTTGATTACAGTGACCATTTTATATGTGTGTACATATGTCAACAAACATCAATCTTATCTTTTAAACACAGGCAATTTATTATTTGTCAATTATACCTTAATAAAATTGGAAGCTTACAATTCAGTAGGAATTATTAAGATCTCAATGTAAGCATAATATGTATTTAAAATGTCTGAGAAAATATATGGAAAGGATACAAATTCCAGGATTTTGCTATTACTTCGTTATTTAGTCATTCAACAATTATATCTTATTTTTAATAGAAATTAGTCAAATAAACAGACACTTCTCAAAAGAAGACATTTATGTTGTCAACAAACATATGAAAAAAAGCTCAACATCACTGATCATTAGAGAAATGCAAATCAAAACCATAACATACCATCTTACGCCAGCCAGAATGGCGATTATTAAAAAGTCAAGAAATAACAGATGCTGGAGAGGCTGCAGAGAGATATGAAGAGTTTTACATTGTTGGTGGGAATGCAAATTAATTCAACCATTGTGGAAGACAGTGTGGTGATTCCTCAAGGATCTAGAACCAGAAATACCATTTGACCCAGCAATCCCATTACTGGGTATGTACCCAAAGGAATATAAACCATTCCATTATAAAGATACAAGCACATGTATGTTTATTGCAACACTATTCACAATAGCAAAGACATGGAATCAACCCAAAGGTCCATCAATGATAGACCAAAGAAAGAAAATGTGGCACATGTACACCGTGGCATACTATGCAGCCATAAAAAGGAATGCGATCATGTCCTTTGCAGGCACATGGATGGAGCTGGAAGCCATTGTCCTCAGTAAACTAATGCAGGAATAGAAAACCAAACACTGAATGTTCTCACTCATAAATGAGAGCTGAATAATGAGAACAAATGGACACAGGGACGGGAACAACACACACTGGGGCCTGTTGGTAGGGGATAGGGAAGAGGAAGAGCATCAGGAAAAATAGCTAATGCATGCTGGGTTTAATACCTAGGTGATGGGACGATAGATGCAGCAAACCACCATGACACATGTTTACCTTTATAACAAATCTGCACATCCTGCACATGTACCCCGAAACTTAAAATAAAGAAATCAGGCAAATAAAACAACTAAGAAATTCTACAACTTGTAACTAAAAAGTAACCCTTAAAATAATATTCCCTCTCATAAACTTTGTAAACTAAAGATAACAAATAAAACACTTTTATTCAGATATTTATTTCCTGAGATTGCTAGAAAATATAATGATTTGAGTCCCAGAGTCTTTGGGGATATATTTTCTATAATGGCCTTGGAAAGTGGCATGACCAGAATTTAAAATCAATCAATCAGAAGGAGCAAAAATTTTTAAAAGGCAGTATTTCTAGCAATAACAACAGCAAACAACTCTTCCACTCTTTACCTTCCTTGTTCTTTATTTGTTATTCAAGTCTAGCAATCTGTGTTTAAGTAAAACCTTTGAGCATTTTTGCTACAGGCAAAATTTTATATTCTCTTAGTTCTGTGATATGGAGTAGTCAGCTATTTCAATTTTTTGCAGACCAAATAGAATATTAATGGCCCTAATGATTTTTAAATACTATCAGCAAGGTTGTTTAAAATGACTGTGTCATAGCAACAATCAATAAGATAATGAATGTGAAAATACTTTGTACGTGGCAAACAGCTATCCAAGAATCTGTGAAAAGATGGAAATTTTTTAAAATTATTTTTCAGATGAAAGTCATTTGAAAGAATAGATGGTAAACAATCATAACTTATTCAAATAAAGGAAGTATTAAAAACAAAAGGCAGACTAGCATAGGCCACTTGAGAAAATGGAAGCCCACAGTCAGTTGTTTTAACACAGGGAGAGATAATTTTACAAATGGGAAAATAAACAAATTAGAACATATGCTACTTTTTAAACATCCAGAGAAAAATGTTCCTTAATTATCTTCAGCTCTAGGAATCTTAAATCTAGAAGGGTGTTTACCAAAATATTTTCATAGAACTATTCTACACCAACAAAATGTTTCATAGTCAAATAAGTCTAGAGTATATTGAGTCAAACAAGGCTAAAAGGTTATTAGAGAAATTTTCATAAACTCTAATATGATAATAATAATAATATGAAAGAGAAGATAATATGAAGAGAGGAATATATTATGCAATCTTTTCTAAACTTACTTGACTACAGAATTATTTTTGTCTTGAAGCCTCTCATGGGCCTAACATGGTTCATTTTTATCTAGAAACACCATGAATTAATCAGTATATGTGATTTAATAATTCCAGAGCCTAATGAAGACCAGAGTACATGAGCCTAGCAAAAAAAAATTACATATATACAACTTTGACTACATTGGTTTGAGTAAATGAGAAGATCATTGATTACCAAAACCTTGCATAAAACCATAAGGGGTTTGGTTACAGAAAAATATGAGAGAAGCTCGTGTCTACACGGAAAATGAAATTGTGGGAATAAAAGGAACTCTTTATGTTGTCCAAGTAACTTCTACTTCGTGAAACCCAATTTGTGTGAAAAACCAGAACTCCAATTAAAACAAATTCCAAAACCCAGAAAATGATGAGACTTCAAGAACCCAGTGATAGCTACAGGTACGTGTTTATCAAGCTGGCATTCATGAAGCCCTGGCCCTGCCTGAGTTCTCCATGAATTCTGTCCTGCTTGGTCCCTGGGTACCTTGCACAAGAGTGGCTGGTTCTACCACCCATCAGCCATGTCCCTCCTCATTCCTCATCCCTCTTCAATGGCCTAGGAAGTCTCAGTCACTTTCTGGACATCAAGCTGGAACTTGGAGTCTCTGGGCAGTGATTATCAGACTCAGGGTTTCTGTGTATGGTTGAGCCATGCGTGCACTGCACAAAGGCCAAAGGAGCAAGAAGGGCCTGAATCTTCATTATGCTTGCCAAGTGGTGTTCCCTGGCATTGGGCTGCTTTGGTCTGGAAAAAGAGAGCCTTTGACTTTTGCAAAAAGACATTGGTCAGCTGGCCAAGCATGCACCTGCCAGCCTTCCTCCATGCAGAGGGATGCCTTTTTCTAATTCTTCCACTTAGAGAATTTTTCTCTTAATTCCCACAAAGGCAAATGATTGGCTTGTTGCTTGGCCCATCTGCCTTGTCCCTTACTCAGTTATCTCTACTCTATTGCCTGAGAGGCACCTTGTGGTTCTGGTGACATGAATAAAGGTCTTCTCTACAGGACAAGACACAGACACCTGAACCTGAACCTGTTAGCCTAGAAATGCTTCTCCCCTCTCCTCCCCTTCCCCACGGTAAAAACAGCAGAAGGACTTAAGAGAAAGAAAGAGAACTGCTGAGAAGTGGAGACACATCGGGTGTATTTCAAAAATAAAACCCCCATTACAGAACCTGTTGGCCTAACCCAGTCTCTAGATGGAACATTCCTGGGCCAGGTGTCTACCTTCTGGGTCTGCTCCACATAACAGGAGCAGAAGGGTAGGGCTGGCTGTGGGCAGTGGAAGAGTGATATGTCTGTTCTCAGAGAAAGTGAACATGCCTGGACAAGCGCACACTAAGACATCTACTACTATTTTTCTCTAGGCTTGGGGATGATGATAATTTTATATATATTAAATAGTCCTGCTTCTTTAACTTTCCACATTTTATTTTATATCCCAATGTCTTGAACTATAGCTTTTATATATGCACTTTTTTCAAGTTTAAAGTCTCCTTTTAGGTGTGAAACTGAGAGCTTTATAAGCACTTGGGGAAAGGTCTGAATCTTGAACTGTGCAAGGGAGAATAACCTGGTGATGCTTCATGGCTTATGCCTGATAGTACCTAATAGCCAGTACCTCTTCTAAAACATGTTCACATTGATACTCACTTGGCCATCCAGTAGGAATCTATAAAGGGAAAAATAAGCAAACCCTTCCACCAGGAGGATAGCTTTGTGAAGGAGTAGTTCCCTCCAACTCCTTCCCAAATTCCTTTAGCGATTCTTATTCCTGCTTGAACCCAAAAAATGACCTGGCCACAACCATGAGCCTCAGAATAATACTTAAAGAGGAAAAAAAACAGATTCTGTTAGATACTGACGAAGTAATAAGCTTTACTCTTTGCCAGGAAAATTACAGCGCTGTGGTTCCATATGTCCCTCTTCTATGACATCTCTCTCTACCTTGTGGAGGTTGCACATAAAGTCTTCCCCTAAGGAAGGTGAAATGTAGGTAGGGCTAGAAAGAATAAAAATAAAAAACCTCCCATGCCCTCACCAAGAATCCCCATATACACCCAGGCCAGCATAGAATTCCCCCAACCCAAAAATGTGGTCTGGAAACAGACAATGTAGGAAAGTGAGACATCAAAAGAAGTGACTGTGCAGCTTCTGACAACACAAATGAAATCAGAAAGAGAGCTCAGGCAAGCTCCTTTGGAACTGCAGCTCCCATTCCTTCAGAGAGAACTCCTGATGCTTATTTCTTCCATGTTAGAATTAGTTTAACACTCATTCCTGATGCCCTCTCTGCGGGTCGGGACATTTTTCATTCCTCTCCAGGATGTTCAGGGAAGCTTTCACTGTAGGAAAACAAAGCATACACCACGACCCTCACAGGACCAGACACGCTGACCACTTTCTCCTGGAATCCTCAGCAGACTTCTCCCTACCAGCGCTGTGCAAACCATTTGCAGCTGGGTTTTTTCCTACTTGTGAAACAACATTGTCTTCCCAGCAGAGCGGGACTTATTTGATGAATGGTGGCAGAGGGCTAAGGTGGAAATGGATTTTGATTGCTTTGATTGCAAGAATCCAGACGTTTAAAAATGACCTAGATGGCTTAACCCCTTCTTACCTGCACTACAGTAAATGAAATAAAAATATATATATATATGTATACTCAAGACACAAAACAGAAGATGAAATAGCTGTTTTTCTCAGTGTGTTTGAAGCACTGTGATATTTACAGTCACATTTTAAAAACTATCGTATTACATAAATAATACATTAATATATTTCAGCAAAAAAAGATTCAAACAACATAGAAGTACAGAGAGTAAAATGCAAAAGTTTACTTTTTACTCCTCATGCACTGCCATTTTTCTCCCCAAGGGTAACCAAATTTACAGATTACTGTATATGCTTCTCATCATTTTTCTCTGTATTTAAATAATAAATGTTTCCTAAACATAGTTTCTGCCTGTTGCTTTTTTCCTTTAACAGTACATCTTTGAAATTTCTCCATGTCACTATATTCGGGTCTCTCGTTCTCTTTAATGGCTGCAGAATTGCTGTGTTTTAATATGGTAGAAAATTATAATTGTGTTTTCATGGCTAAAAAAAAAACTTTGAAAAGGAAGGATACTATTTGCTGGTTCTGCAGTAACTTTTTGAAAAATTAAGTGGTAGCTTGCAAAAGCATGCTTAAATTGCTAGTCACTGAAAAAATGCTTAACAAAATGAGCCACATTGCTCACTGCTCCCGGTAGCACCCTAGCACGGACCCTGCCTGGTAATCCAGCAAGTCTTGGAGGAAGTTCTTTGGGTAACAACTCTTTGCAATAGTTCCTTGAAACTGGCTAAGTTCATATAGTTTCCAATCCTGACAATGCTTTACATACAGCCTGTATGATCCTGTAACCCTCCAAGTCTTTAACAAAAAGAGAAGATTGTTAAGAAGACGGAAAACAAGAAATAAAAGAAGAGCCACACTGAGTTGTTAGGTTGATTTTCCTGACTGTGTTTACGCCTTTCCATAAATCCTGGAACGGCTGGGCACACCTTCATTAAATTAGGTGTTCTTGATTGGGTTACTCTCACCTTTTTACAACCCCGGATCTCTGTTTTCCCAGTCAAAGATTAATCTCTTGCTCTTCACAATTTAAAGATTCTTTTTGGTAACCAAGTTTCAGTTATTGAACAGATACACATCACGAAATGTTTTCTAGGACTTTCCTTTTCTTTTTAAGACAGTATGGGGGGGGCGTGTGAGGGGAACAAAACTAACAGCATTCTGTTATCCTCAGGAGCCTATACTTTTAAGTATTTTTAGTTTTTCCCCAGGAGCAAATAACATGGTCATTTCATGTCAGCCTGTTATGCATTAGCACAACTCTGATCAGCGCCATCAGAGGTTATTGATAGTACCAATAATATAGATGTTGGAAAATTTTGCATTGATTTAATGCCTGAAATCAATCAACCTTTCACTATCTCTTTCCTTTCCATTGCTCCTGCAGACTCGGATAACATTCAGTTCCTGAATCTCCAGAGCCTCCTGTAAAGGGGTAACGGAATCCATCAGAGAGTCTAGTAATCTACAGCTCCTGGATTAGAACCCATCAAAAGCTAGAATAGGTCATTTTACCATCAAAAGAACATCGCTCCTTCAAAGAAATGTCAAAACTCAAGCAGTCTTTTCACTCTGAGGTGGCCTTATTTATAGACATTTCTGGTTTCATTTCTCTTGCAATACACTGTGATACCCAGGACAGTGGCCCATGGATGGCAGCAAAGCCTCGCAGCTGAGACTATGTCTGAATGCAGCTCAGGCTCTCCTCCACATTCCATTTGTTCAAGTAACTTTTCCAGGGCTATGCAGTCAGGCCAATTATCTTAGAAACAGGCAATTATAACCACATTCACAGCTCCCTAAAAGGGTGAGTGCATTCTAGTAACAATTTCTCATGAAAGAAAAACAGTAATTGAAGGATTGGCAAGGCTATTGCAACAGACCAAGACCTCTGGGAAGACATTTAATAGCATGCAGAAGTCCACACACACACACACACACACACACACACACACAGAGTCCACTTGCTTTCCCACCAGAGGAATTTTTCCTTCCCATCCAAATCTACCAAATATTTTCTGGAGGAAAAAATATAGAGAGACCAGAGGAAACAAAATAGATGAAGGTATAACTGGCATTCTGGGTTCCGGCCATGCATTATTCCTTAATATCTATATGTTCACCTCTTGCTTCTCTATTGTTGAATGTAAGTCACAGTGTAAAATATTGGCAAAGTATCATTCCTGAGATAATACATGTGGAAGCACTTTAGAAAAGCTAAATCGGGTGGATCACTTGAGGTCAGGAGTTCAAGACCAGCCTGGCCAAAATGATGAAACCCTGTCTCTACTAAAAATACAAAAATTAGCCGGGCATGGTGGTGCATGCCTGTAATCCCAGCTACCTGGGAGGCTGAGGCACGAGAACTGCATGAACCCGGGAGGCGGAGGTTGCGGTAAGCAGAGATTGAACCACTGCCCTCCAGCCTGGGCAACACAGTGAGATTCCATCTCAAAAAAAGAAAAGAAAAGGTAAATCATTTTATCTACCTAAGGTAAATGTAGTTATTTTTGGAGCCTAATTCACATCTTTATTGATAGAACATACTATCAGCTCAAACTAGGCATGGCACTCTGAAGCAACCAAACTATCCTACCTTCACTATAAGATATATCGCTCTAAAAGTCTACGACAGTCCTCCAGATCTCAGTCTTGATCAACTACAGCACACACACTAACACATATTGTGGCCTTCTTGCATATATTCAAATGCTTATATACACTGCTTTAGCTCTAATTGTCCAAGGGCTATTTTTCTAAGACAAGGTGGTAAATTCTTTAAGGATAAGGATTTAATGTAATATTTGTATTTCCCACAACAGAGTATAAGGCTTCGCACATCAGCAGCAATCAGTAACTAGTTGTTGAATTGATTAACTATCAGACATTCATGATAGTTTTTCAGATATTGGACCTCTGGAATGACATATGATTTGAGTAGACTGGTAAAAACGTTATCTGAAAGCATGTACGTTTGCCTAAAGGAAAAGAAATGCGTATTTATTTACTTATTTATTTTTATTTCTTTCTTTAGGCAAAAAATACACACACACATATACTGTACATACACAAACACAGACAAATTGCATACATATATATATATATACATATATATATATATATGGGCAGCAAGGCTACTAGTTCCACTTGGCTCTGGAAAACAAGAACGACACACCATTTTGGAAGAGAAAAGGGACGTCTAACCTTGCCGCTTTGTTTTGTTTTTCATGCATCCAGACCAGAGTATTAGGACAGAGGCGAGACAAAAGGTAATTGAGCTGCGATTCGGGGGAAGCATTTTGTAAGTGAATAAAAGGCCACAGTGATGAGTTCAGTGGCAGGGGGTTTTCCAAACACATCTCCAGAGAATCTGGGGTGAACCTAAATAGAAAGACTTTCTTTCTCAAAACGCATAAAATAGGTTTAATATTTGCCTCTCGCCTGCGCGGGTGACACCAGTCTGTACCTCAGAGCCCAGCTCCGGGTGCCGCGGATCCCTGGACGGCTGAGCGGGGGCGGAGCGCCATCTACTGGTTATCAGTGCGACGGGCGCCCGGCAGGTTTCCGGAGCAGAGCCTGCGCGCTAACTGTGCATCATTTAGTCAAGAGGGCGTCTGGAGTCCAGCTGCTCCGAAGTTAGGCTCCAGAGAGAAATGACAACGTACATACACTTTTCCACCCCTTCCCTTACCTAGCTCTCCTCCTCCAATTATCCTTGAGAAGAAAATGCAGAGAGAAAGACATGGAAACACTCCCTCAGAAACGCAGTGGGGAGTGGGGAGGGTGGCACGGGATTTTGTCTGGGCGGGGAGGAGACTAGGGTTTGTCTCTGTACGCTAGGTTTTAGAAAAGGCTTGCACCCTTGCTGGGTGCCTTCTCCTCCACCCGCTGAGCTCACTAGCTAATGAGGCTGCTGGATAACCGAGGGCTCAGGGGGCGACCTGGACCAAAGGGGCAGTGGGACGGGGCTGCAGGCAGGTCTGGCCCGAGATGCATGGTGCGGCCCTGTCAAACCCTGGCCAGAGGAGATGCTGTCACCCCAAGAGGAGCAAAAGCCCCATCTTCCTCTGTGTCCAGCTTTCCACTGGCCTAAAAGACGGCTTCCTTCTGGGGCAGCCTCTGTGTCTCCCAGGTCTACCGGGGGGCTGGCCAGCCCCCACAGGAGTGCCTCTCTTTGGAGGGTCTACTTTCTTCCAACAGCTCCCCACCCTTCTCTAGACCAGGGAGTAGTTTGATCGTCAAATCACCTTCATTGATTTCTGACAGAGAGTGAGTGCTCTACCACAGGCAGACACCCCTTTGGGCAGTAGCCCACTACTAGAATCGGCATCAGGAAGTCTCCACTTGCAAGAGTTCAAAGAACCACAGAATTATCTATTTCAAAGCGTTGGTAGATGCAAAGCCGAAATTCACACCAGGGCCCATAGTTTCCTAACTATCATGTTGGGATGAAGAGTACAACAAATCACGTCTGTAAGGCTTCTGATAAGTGACTTTGTCAAAATGAGAAGCCGTTTACTTACAGAAAGCACAGCGACATCAGGTTAGTGAGTGTGACACAAGCAAGATAGTTTACACCACATCTTCTGTCTACTCCTCCCCAAAACTCCTTCCTCAGGAGGTCTGAAGTCAGCCCCATCACCCACCCTATGCTTCAGCAAAACCGCTACCAATAAATCTCAGAGGCTGGCAATTCTTTGACTCCACGGACTTGGAGAAGACATCTGAAACAGACGAGAACTTTTAAAAGAGAACAGAAAACACATGTTTTCAAAGAAGATGATGACTTTTTCTGAAAATAAGGCAAGGAATGCTGCATTAGATTAGTCCCAGGTTATCTCCATTTGGCCAAATACTCTTAAAATTAAAATACCAGGACACAAACCAAAGAAGCACACTGCTAATGTATTTTACAACCTTACAAAACTTAGCAGAAAGGGCCTATAATTTAATTGTATGGGTTTGGGTTTTCAGTTACTTATAACCCCGCGACAATCTCTGTAAAAGAATAAAGCAGGGATTACGAATAGTGGTTATGACATAAATTTCTAGTATATCTACGGCATTAAGAACCTGAAAAACATCTATTCTTTATATGACACAATGTCCTCTTCTTCTTTCAAAACCCCTGCAATACTTAAGATCCTCTTTTTTTAGGAAACTACATCTTAACAATCTCTAATAGATTCACTAAATGAAGCAGCACCTAAATATTGGCATGTGTGGAGGGCTGTTGATAAAATGGGGAGGTGGGGACCACTGGGGAGGCAGGGGATGTGTCCTAATGCATTTGGTTCTGCATGTTCTGTGTTGGCCATAACTCTCTTGTTAAACCATCAACTCCTCCTGGACAGAAAGATTTTGTTTTTCTTTCTGCACCATGGTTCGGGTACCTAACACAGTGCTATTGTATTAGTCCCTTCTCATACTGTTATAAAGAAATACCTGAGACTAGGTAATTTATGAAGAAAAGAGGTGTAACTGGCTCACAACTCTTCAGGCTATACAGGAAGTGTGATGCTGACATCTGCTCAGCTTCTGGGGAGACCTCAGGAAACTTACAATCATGGTGGAAAGCAAAGGAGACGCCAGAAATTCACATGGCCAGAGCAGGAGGAAGAGAGACAGGAGGGAAGTACCACACACTTTTTAACAACCAAATCTCATGAGAATTCACTCACTATGCAGTACCAAGGGGAGATGGTGCTAAGCCAGTCATGAGAACTCCACTCCCATGATCCAATCACCTCCCAGCAGGCTCCATCTCCAACACTGGGGATTACAACTGAACATGAGATTTGGATGGGGACACAGATCCAAACCACATCAGCTTTACAAAGAGCAAATGCTTGAGCAATACCTTGTTCCTGCCAGCTCAGCCTGCCCTGATTCTGAGCAAATCTGTACTTAAGGGGGAAGCATGAAAACTACTCAGCCAGCCCCATGAGGCACTTTCATGGTCAAATCAGACTCTGAACCAGGTATCTTAGGAGGAAGCCCGGAACAGAAGCATTCTCTTGGCTGCCATATGGGACCAGAATCTCCAATGAGGACAGAGATCTTTCCTGTGGCCCCAGAGTCCTATCTAGCCCCACCTCCACCCCCAAGTTGGCTTTGCCATAGATGAGCTCCTATTATGGGCCTGTGTCTAGATGCTGGCTGGTAATTCCAGCCTATGTATTCATCACTCCTGAACACAGTTCATCTTGCGCTGCTTCTGGATTGCTGAGCTCTGCTCTTCAGTGAGAGCCAGGACCTGCTTGCCTGGCCTGCTAGACCCTGAATGTCCCTGTCTCTCTGAATCAGGTTCTTCGCCACCTTATCTCACCTTGAACTCTGTGAGGGTACATGGTTTGCTGATTTTGACTGTTATTGATGATTCTTTGCATGTCTTTGTATGCCCGAGTACCTGGCCTAGGGAAGAGGTACATATACAGTAAATGTAGGTGGAAAACAAACAAATCAATAAATAGATAATACCAGTACTGCC
The DNA here is from genome assembly GCF_000001405.40 of Homo sapiens. Lineage (NCBI taxonomy): Eukaryota > Metazoa > Chordata > Mammalia > Primates > Hominidae > Homo > Homo sapiens. Next base: position 75,222,875 of record NC_000013.11, read on the forward strand.
TATTGACATCACTTCTTGGGCAGGGTCTGCAGCTCTCCAGAATGAATTTATCCATGATAGGTACATTGCATATCTTGTCTCAGCATCCCCTGTCCCCTGCCTTCCCATGTAGATACAAATCTAAAGATAAGTTAATATCCCAGACTTCTTCCCCAGAGCCTGCCCCATTCCAGTGGGCAGGTGTTGAACCAAGTTCTGGGTCTTTCAGAATCACCATCCAGTCATGAGAAGACAGCCATACCCCTGATGCATTCCCAAGTTGTGGTAGATATGATGAGAGGCAGGTTCGGAAACTGCATCCACCCTAAACCCACCATTTTATTTAACCAACACTTAGAGTACTTGCTTTGTGCAAGGCACTGATTTAATCCTTATAATAACACTATGGTTATTATCTCCTTTGGCCCACAAGAAAAATGAGACATGGTGGGCTTCAGCTACCTATCCAAAGGCCCACAGTGGCAGGGCTGCGCATTGACCTTTGGCAGGTGGGCTCCGGAGCCCATGTTTTTATCGTCCAGCCCACACTAACTCTCCAGGCTGTGACCACTCGTGAGGTTCTTCTAGTCACCCTATCAGGAAAGAAGACAAGGATAATTTGGCACAAGCTCAAACTTGTAACAAATATGAAACTACTAAATTAATGCTACCTAGTCTGTTCATTGCTTCTGTGCCCCAACAAAACACAAGTTATTTCAGAGATGGGACGAGGCCACAGCAATTCTTCAGCTGAGCGGTAAGACTAAGGCAGGAGGGATTCAAAGGAAAGGAAGATTGGGAAGGGTTTAAGTAGAACTGAAAGGACATAATGTATTGGTCAAGGAGGATTTAAGAGAGACGGCAGAATCTAGGGTGGCTCCTGTATGATTAGTGCTGTAAATGATGGGACCTTTAACAAAAGTTAGGAATATGATGTAAGAGCAGGAGAAGGCTTACTTTTGTATGGGCCGAGAAACATAAAGATGATTAAGACACGCTCTTCCCAAGAATTATATGTAATGTAAATGATAGCATCTTTAAACAATTGCTAAAAGATCTGAAAATATTTTAGGCCCATAGAAATTTTTATTTACCTAAAATGTGATTATGTTCTACTCACAGGATCACCCATACATATCATTAAATGTGCAAAATTGCACACACTTTTATGATTTCATATTTTCAAACTTACACATGGACATGATTATGCTTCTAAGAGCTGGGGCCATGCTTCTAGCCAGAACCGTCTGGGAGGTAAAGGCCCATCTGTGCTCCAGATTCCCATTCATCTCCCCAGGAGGCTTTCAGGAGCCCAGGGTGTGTAGGGAATGCCTGCCAGGCAGGCCCCAGGTGTGGAAAGCATGCACAGACATGGTCTCACCCAGGAGTAGGGCCAGCTGGGTCCTGCTCAGAGGGATTCAGGATTGAGACCGAACATTTGATTTAAAGCAGGACATTCCTGCAGTAAAGGAATCACACACTCTAATATTGGAAACACGCATGGGATTCTTTGCTAAGATTTCAGTTGGCTGTAAGTGAAAGTACAGAAACACTGGAGAAACAATTCAGATAATCTCTAAAAAAGACACTGCAGGCTGTTGACCATAAACTACAGACGCACTTAGATGGACAGTAACAGACATTCACCTGTAGCCAGTTTTCCAGTGACTCACACTGAATTTTCTGCAATCATCCTTCCTCTTGTTTTCCTGATTCCAGCCTCACAGATAGCCCATGTGAAATCCATACCTACACTTCCTATTGCAAAGCACCTATGACCACCGACTACGTTGTCAACAGGAAACTTCACAGTATTTAGTATGATTTGAGTACAGCCAATCAAAAGTGTCTCCCTAATGAGTACATAGGAAGCTAGGGTTGCTGGCAAATAAAAATACAAGGCTCCCAGTTAAACTTGAATTTCAAATAAATAGCAATTTTTTTCAGTAGAAATGTGTCCCATGCAATATATGGACAAACATGTACTAAAACATTTTTTATTAATCTAATATTGAAATTTAACTGTGCATCCTCTATTTTCCCTGGCAACCGTATGTGAGGCTCCAAATAGTTTGGATTTTGATGGCGTTGGAGCTTTAAAAAAATCCTCTACGATATGCAAGTTCCCACAGGAAAAGCAAAAAATAAGCTGCTGCTAAATATGATTTTATAAAGGACATAAAATTACCTTTACTCAAACCCTGTTAGAATCTTCTCCTCTTCCCCAACTTTTTTTTTTTTTTTGAGACACAGTCTCATTCTGTCCATTCTGTCACCCAGTCTGGAGTACAGTGGTGTGATCTCAGCTCACTGCAACCTCTGCCTCCCGGGTTCAAGCGATTCTCATGCCTCAGCTTCCCAAGTAGCTGGAATTACAGGAACCCGCCACCACGTCTGGCTAATTTTTTTATTTTTAGTAGAGACAGGGTTTCGCCATGTTGGCCAGGCTGGATTGCACCCTTGCCCTCAGCCCCTACACTTACTGGGCCACAAAACTACCTCCCAACTAGCTGTTATGGACTAAATTGTGTTCTCCTAAAATTCATATGTTGGAGCCCTAACCCTCAAAGTGACTATTTGGAGATACAGCCTTTAAAGTGGTATTTGAGGTTAAAGGAAGTCATAAGCATAGGGTCTTAATCAGTATGACAGATGTCCTTATAAGAAGCAGAAGAGACATCAAGGATGTACACTCAGAGACAATGTCAGGTGAGGACACAGTGAAGAGGTGGCCATCTGCAAACCTAGCAAAGAGGTCTCAGGAGAAACCAAACCTGCCGACCCCTTGATCTTAGACTTTCAGCCTCCAGAACTGTGAGAAAATAGGTTTCTGTCCTTTAAGTTTCCCTGATCTGTGGTATTTTGTTAGGCCAGCCCAAGCAGACTAATATACTAGTTTTCACATTTGTTTCTCTCCTCTGGCAACACTCCTCAGCCTCATAGCTGGAAATATTGCTACAGTCTTCTATGGGGATCTCCAACTCTATTAGACTCTGTTAAAGTGAGCCAGGAAACACAGATCCACCTAAAACCCAAATCTAATAAAGCCACTCTGCTGAAAGCTTTTTAACAATTCCTTACTTGGACTTCTCAGCTGTCTTTGGCCAGCCTCAGTGTTGTCCCAGTGTCAGCTCACACAGGCTCAGGAGAGCCACCTACACTCATCTCAACTCCACTTTCAGTGGCACCATGTTGGTAGCTTGCAACTGGCCAAGGGGTGGGTAAGTATTTACACCGTGTAACCTGCAAACACAAATCACGGCTTTTTTTTTTTAATTAGAGAGCCAATTGTTAAACATTTACCAGCCCACTACTGCCGCCATCAGGATACACTCAGCTCCAAGAAACAAACAAAAAATGCACCCAATGACCGATGTACCTACCAGTGATTCTCAAAATGTGTTCCCAGACCAGTGACACAGCCAGGTGGGAAG